>NC_000007.14:119173445-119476475 GCF_000001405.40 Homo sapiens
GTGCCAGGAAGTTGAAATAACTCTTTTATCTTTGTTCATATGCAGAATTTTTATCTTTGTTCATATGCAGAACTTTTAGATCCAACAAGATAGTGACAGAAATATAAAGCCATTCTTATTATGCAAATATAACAGCTTATTAAATGTTATTCTCCTTATTTTCTGAATGTTGGGAGAAGTTTCAAATATGGAGAACAAAGTAATAGGTTACAAGGCACTCCATAATATAAAATGAGATGGAGATCCATCTCATTCTTTAGGACTTATGAAGGAGCTGAAGAAAATTGGTTCTACTAACATTAGTTAATAATCCCTTACAGCTTATAAAAACGGTTGAATAGTCTAGTAGAGTTCTCCTTAGAGAGAATGTTAATGTGCTAGTTTCTCTCCCTCAATGAGCAAAGAAATAATGCCCACCCTTCTCCTCAATTTGAAACTCATCAGAAAGATGCTTCAAAGGAAATACATGTACTCACAAAGCTTGACATGTGTACCCTAGAGCTTGAAGAACAAAAGGTATCATGTTTGACTGAAGTATTAAGACTTAAACAGTCAGAGGCTATGGTTAGATCTACCTCTGTCTGCAGGAAGAATGAAAACAAAATGTACCTGTTTGTTGGCTTTCCATTCATGGACCAAGTTGCATGTCTCTAGGGGCTAGTCCCTGCAGAGAGAAGGCAGAGACAAGAGTGGCTCATCTTAGAAGGATCTCATTCAAGAGAATACATAAAAGATTACCAGTGGAAGGGTGGATGACTGAAACCCCAGAGGTTAAGAAAAGAATCCTAAGTGTCTATAGCAGAGGACAAAGAGACATTATCTGCTCCAAAGCAAATACATTCAGACATTTTCAGCTGGAGATAGCAGAGAAATCTCCACAAGTGACTCACCAAATGGAGCACAGCCACCGCATATGAACATAAGACTGGACCCTGCCTCAAATTCCCTCCCCAACCCCAACTCCATCCCTCACGCAGACATTGGAAGAGTCAGAAACAGTAGTCTATGAGCAAAGGATTAAGTACAATAAGAAGAGAAAGGGTCAGCTTAGCAATCTTGCCATAATTTTTCAAGCAAATGTTGAAGCTGTGTGGAGAGGAAAGCTTTAACAAGAAAAAAGCTGGAAGTTTTGATAATATTGTGGATTCTATTGATCACTTAAATATGAGGGTTATGTGGCTTAAGAGATTTTTTTTCCATTTATTTTTATTTATTTATTTTAAATTTTACTTTAAGTTCTGGGATACATGTGCTGAACATGCAGGTTTGTTACATAGGTATACATGTGCCATGGTGGCGCATCAACCCGTCAACCCATCATCTAGGTTTTAAGACCCGCATACATTAGGTATTTGTCCTAATGCCCTCTCTCCTCTTTCCCCCCACCCTCTAAGAGGCCCCAGTATGTGATGTTCCCCTCCCCATGTCCATGTGTTCTCATTGTTTAACTCCCACTTATGAGTGAGAACATGCAGTGTCTGGTTTTCTGTTCCTGTGTTAGTTTGCTGAGGATGAAGGTTTCCAGCTTCACCCATGACCCTGCAAAGGACATGAACTCATTCATTTTACGGTTGTAGGCTTAAAAAGATTGAAAAGATTATGGAAACATTCCAACATTTAATCCAGCAGCAGGAAAGGAGGAATCCAGAGAGAAGACATAAATGGTCATTAGTAGGGAAGATAAGGAGAGTTGTATTTTCACCCTACTCAGTCCAAATTATTTAATTAAGCCATTACACAACTGAGGGAGTAAAAGTGATTGTTTTTTCAGAATGTATGATTCATAAGAGTTATTGGAAAATTTGAATGTTTATAATCATATTGTTTTACTTTCCTTAACATTTTAGATAATGCATTTATGTATTTATTTATTTTTGTTGTCTTTTTTAAAAACTACATTTTATTGTGTATATTTAAGGTGTACAGTACAATGTTATAAAATACACATATATGAAAATGATTTTTATAGTGAAACAAATGAACATATCAGTCATCTCAGTTTTTAATATCAAAATAGATAATATAGTTGAGCATTTGCCATTTTTGGCTAAATTGTGTATTTTTTAAAACTGCACACGCTGAAAAGGACATGGATTTAACTCAAATTATCACAGATTCTGAAATTTGTACATCATACGATTAGTTTAAGTATTTAAAATGTTTGTAAATATAGAAATTTAACAAGTAAAATATGTATTTATTCCATATTAAAATATAATATACTCATTAAAAATGTTGCCCTATAATACATGGAAAAATCACACACTATGCACACTTTATTGTTAAAGAATAACACTACTGTTAAGGAATACAGGAACCAACTGTATTAGGGTTCAACCACAGGACAGAAAATATGCAGCAATTGGAATAAATGAAAATGCAATATGAGAATTATTTAAAAGCAGGAAGGCATTTATTCTAAAGAATAAAGAATTATAGACAACAGTCACTGTTGCTAGGGTGGAGTCAGAACCCCCAAGGAAGCAATAAATCTGGAGGATTCCCTTCCTTCAGTGGCCTGGCCATTCAGGCCTCATGGCAGAGAGCACAACTCTGGCTCTGGATGACAGAATTTGCTAAGGTGCCTCAAGCAAGCAGAGGTGTCCTGTGAGGCTGCTGCGGAAATGACTGGGAAGCTACTGGAACTGGCTGGAGCAAATGCCGCTGGCTGCCTTTCCTGCATGCAGCTAACACACAGTAGGAGAAAAAAGGAAACAAGCACACTGGAATCAAGTCCTTTTCTACTCTTGTGTCTCACCAGCGCCATCTACTGACAAACCTTAAGCGTCTTGCCAGCTGACATAGGAGAAAAGTATATTTTTTAAATGTTTTTAATTGAAACAATAGAGTTCAGAAAAGCCATGAAAAATGAATTTGGAGCTGAGAGGTAAGAAAACAATAACTGACATGCCAACATTTACGATGGAAAATGTATGAAATCTGGAAAGATCACAGGTGGATTGATAGCTACATAGACAGGCAGATATAGATATTAAATATTTTGGCATATGGGAAATAGTGGAAAGTATTACATAATGTTTTAAATAATATACTGTTCATTACAAGAAATTAATATGATGGTATAAAATGTTTATTATTTCCACAACCGAAAAAGAAGTGGAAACAGGAGAAGGTCTAGCATCAACAGTAAGGATTTCTATAAAATAAAATAAGCTTTCATTTTAATAAGACACACATCATTAGGAAAAAATAGACTGGAATATTCTTGGTTATATTTTTGACTAGAAAAATAAAGATCTTTAGGATTTTCAGGAATCTCCAGATTTAACTCACCAAGTTCATGAAAATTGATATCACCAACCCAATATTTTCTCTACTAGAATTGCCTTATTTGAAAGACTGTGTCTGAACTTAGACCCAGTGTAACTAATTTTATGAATATATATATATTTATATATATATATATATAAACAGATTCTGATAAATTCTAAGAGTTGTTTAGCATGTCGGAATCTTTTCTGTGTCCAGCCATAGTCTATTAAAACAGCTTTTCTCAAAGTGTGGTCTTGGGATCAGCAGCATCACTATCACCCAGGAACTCATTACGTCAGGTTGTGTCCTGACCTCAGCCACTGAGGTCAGGCCCCAACCAAGATCTCCTGGATGAGACATTTTGAGGAGTGGGCCCAGTAATCTGTATTTTCAGAGCATTTCTAGGTGATTCTGATGCATGCCAAAGTTTGAGAATCACTGATGAGTTTCTCTATCATAAGTTTTATTGACAATTGCTCTAGATTCATAAAATATTTAATGAATATCTCTTTTTAGAAGTCTACTTGAATATAGTTTATTCTGAGGGTTGCTTCTTCTGGTAGAGTTTCCCATTTATATCTGACTTGTCCACTGAATGAACATATTAGAAGTATTGCTGTTACCTGAAGCTTATTATGTATGGACAAAAATAACATGTAGTTGGCTGGAGTTTAAACATTAGAAACAGAGCAAATATTATTACTTGAAATGTACTAACACTAAAATAAATGAAAACCTTATTCTGGTGTTCAAACTATGTATTTTAGCTCTGTTGTTTTATAAATCAATGTTTCAAATAATATATATATATGCAATTTTATATACAAAAACATGTAGTACATTATTCTCATTTCAAAAGAAACGTGCAATTTAGTGTTCGGCACCCCAAATCTTTCAAATTTTTGCCATTTGGAGCACTGAAGAAAATCAAAAACAGCAACTAATTCAATACTGTAACATGTTTAAATTGAGCAGTATATAAATTCAGATTTTTGTTCTTCTGCTGGGAAAATCCCCCTCAACACTTCAAGATCCATCACCATATCCTACAAGTATCCTACTAAGTAGTACTTTTTACTTTTACTTGGTAATCAAATCGATATAAAATTCTATAAGCTAATGGCACCAAGCTACTTAAAGCAGATATTAGTAAAACCAATTCTATATTCCAGATGAATTTTCTTCATCTCCAAAATTGTATTTTAATTTAAAGTTTTTTATACCACTTGCTAGGAAGCTAAAAGTTTTCATGTAATATTCAGGTTGTTTATTCAGTTATACATCTCAGGCATTACATTCAAAACAGATGTAATATACACTATTAATTTGTTCAAGAATCTCCTTATCTGTGCAGTGTCTGGTTACAGGGAAAGCACTATTCCCTCTAGATTTATTTTATCTTAATATTTGGTGTTATGGGCAGAAGACCAAGTTGACTCCCAAATCTGAGAACACATGTCTTTTGGTTACTGTAATCTCCATTTAATATACTTCACTGGATTCTGCACTGAGCAATGTCCACATATACACAGAAAATCAGTTGTACTCTATCTGGTGTCAGCTTCTCAGAGTCCAGACTCAAGTATCATGTATGTAAGAATGACCATTTGTGTCTGGAAACTAATCTCAGCTACCATTGATTTACATAATCACAAATGAAATATTTTTTGTTGTTGTTATTTTTGTTTTTTGACATTACTCAAAGCAAAGGGGATATATTTATTCATATGGTTCAGAGTAAGATAGAGCTATCATTCTAAGGAACTGAGTTCTTAAATAGTTTAAAAAAGACAAATACCTTTTTTATCTACTAGGTTTGAAAAAAGAGAATCATCTTTTAGATTTTTATTCAATTTGTGGAGCTGTTTCTACTGTTCTATTCATTAAGATTTTAGCATCATAAAAGAAATTCAGCCACTGAGGTCAGGAAGTCAGGTTTCCATGGTAAAACTTCCTCTGATGGTATTTTGCAAGCATTAATAGGAATTCTGGTCTTTCTATGGCACAGGTTTTGAAGAACATAACAGGAACTTACATATCTAACTTACCTGTAGACATCTGAAGGCAATACACATTAAAGAATCTGCATGTTAGTTGAGTGCATTCTCTCTGACTGGTCTTAACACAAGGGTGATAGATTTTCTCCAGACAGTTTTCATGTCACTACTTTAATTTCAAAACTGTGTTCTTTTCAACAGGCCTATATATCTGCTTTTGTTCCAAGATGCATTTCACTGTCATGTGTATTTCTAGATACCAGAAATACAAATAGAACTACAAAGGTTCTATTTTTCTGTATTAAATTTCACAAAATACTGCATTTTGAGAATGAAAAAGCTGAAGTAATAATGTTTGTTAGGAAATTAAGATCATCATCACCTCTAGCAGAACTGGAATCATCTGACAGCTGTTGTTGTCATGTAAACTTCGCCCTAAAATTTATCCGTGTGTCAGAGCCAGATTCTTATTGGAAGTCAGCATGCCTGCTGTCAAAATTACGATGTGTGTGTGTGTGTCTGTGTGTGTGTGTGTGTTTTCTTTTCTGTCTTTGTAATTCCAGTCTTCAACTTTCATTTTAATTTTTTTTCTTTCTACCTTGCTGTGGCATGAATTGTATGCAGTTTCTTATGCAATGCCCTGCTGTTTTCTTTAAACATTCAAGTCTGTTTCCCCAGCAATACACTTTTAAGAAATATTTCTAAGATATATGTTTAAGTAAAACAATAAAAATGTACAAATTCACCTTCAGAAAGTATTGCCTAAAGAATTATCTATCTCTATATCTATCTATCTATCTATCTATCTATCTATCTATCTATCTATCTATCTATCTAATCTATGTGATCATCAAGACAATTTAAACGCAATGGTTTCCTTCTGAGTTTACAACATTAATGAGGAACAGAGCTTGGAGAAACACCTCACTATGTGGCTTTTTGAAATTTTTTTGTTATTTGATTTGCGAAGTATTTTAGAAATTTAAAGTAAAATTTAAAAAATATACATAGAAGAAAATAGTTCCAAGAAAATAAATTAATATAGTATAATCAGTTCAAGTAATACATCAAAGATGGCTTTAAACCTTTCTCTATGTGATTTCTCTTTCTAGCAGGGACAGACTTCTTATGTGGAGGTCTTTCTAGAGGGAATGTGGCAAGCCTGAACTTTTATTTTGGCTTAGGATATGGTAATTTGGAGTATTTAATAAGTAGATGAGATAAATATGTAATATATTATTTCTCTCCATTTATTTATGTGTGTGTGTGTGCGTATGCATGTAACAATTAGGCCTAACCTATTAAGTGATATATATCCTTACATATTTCATATACTTTTTTGAGGGTGGACCCCATCTAACTCATCATGAACTGAGAGAGATAAAGTAAATCTTACTACTAGCGGGTTTCTATTTCTCTTTGTATTTTTTAAAGAAATTGCTTCCTGACCGTTGGTAAAATTTGATGTTTGTAAGTTTTGTTACCTCACAATTATGAGTTGCATTTTCAGTATTATAAAAGTGTTATACTTTTTTTGTTTAATTTTTCCTGGCCTGAAATTCTGTTAACCTGTTTGGTATTCAAATTACATCTCTTGCCTAACGTTTAGCACACTTTCAGATTTAAGTATAAAATACAACAGGAACGTGCTCAAATCTCAAAAGTGAAGCTAGACACACTTTTGCAAAGTTAACACACCTATGTTACTCCCAAGCTTATCAAGATACACAGCATTGTCAGCACCTAAGAAAACTTTCTATATGCATTCAACAGGCTATATCATTATTTTACCTCGTTGGCATGTTTGGGCTTCTATGCTATGAAATATGGCAAGTCAATCTCATGGTCATGAAACCACTCTTGGTCTTCTTCAGCTATAAAGTAGATCTACTGTAGTGATCTTATGTAGTGATATTATGCAGTATCCTGTATGCATGTATTAAATTTTTCGTAAAACCTTTGGTAGTGGTGCTGGCTGAGGCCATACAAGCATGAAAGAAAAGTGCAATTGCACAAAAATGTGAATTTATCTAAGAAATTTGCTTCTCTTCTTTGTAAATGAGGGCTTCAATGTAATCTATGTTACCACTTGACCAAAAGATTCTTAATGGAAGTACAGTACTGGGGATCATCATTGCTTTCTGTTGGCAAGTTGTACATTTGGTAGCAGCAGTTCAGAAACACAGTAGGTGCCTCAATTCCAGTCTTCCACATTTCAGTTCTTTAATTCTTCCTCCTTACAGGCCTTTGACTAGCTGGCTAATGAATTTGCTAACATTCACAAGTTGAGTTGCCATTCAAAATGGGTAACCAGGTTACTGTGAATTTTACTTACTGGGAATTTTTTGCTTCACCACTATCTTTAAAGGCCACTTTTGAGTGGGAATTTAGTATAGTTACAGCTCACTTACTAAGCCACCTTACTCAAAAACACAGTTGGAGATTTTCCCTCTCTGTTATCTGGTCACAAATGATGTCCCCAAGATGCCATATTGCTATATTGGTGCAATAACTTGTGCGATACTGGTGAATATCATGGACATTTAGGCTACTGGCTCATGTGGCTTGCTTGTGTTTTATGTTTTCCAGTCTTGTTAATGTTTGTTCCAGGATGTACTCTTTTACCTTATGATGGAGTATTGCTGTCCTACTCAATTTTATAACTCCATGAGTTTAAGAAAATCCAGTTCATGATGAGTACTACTTTCTATGTTGTTCCTTAGTGTTTCATGTCAAGAGGTCTTTCTCTACCTGTATCCAGTAACATACCAGTAACTGCTTTTCAAAACTTGTGCAATTCTCTGCTGCAGATGGCATGCCATTGTTATAAAATATAGTTGTCTACCTAATATTTCCTCCATTTGTCTAAAATGCACCAGCCAGTACATTCCTTTCCAAGAGTGTACTTTAAAGAGTATATATACTTGAAGAGTATATATACTTTCTACAAATATAATTAGGTTTGCAGTGGATTTTAAATTATGTTGGGAAAAATTGGCAGCCTTACGATAGTAACTAGTCCATTCTATTAACTTGGCATTTATCCTAGCATTTCTGTATATTCTTACACAGAATCATATCTCAAAGTGTGTATTGTTATTATGGATAGTATTCTGCTTTCTGCTATGTTTTCTAGGAAATTATTGCTGATATATGATAATACTATTAATACTATCGATTTTTGTTATTTGAGTTTGTATCTGGAGAGTGTGTTGAATGCTTTATTTGTTGTAGACTGATACCATCCCAGATTACATTGACAAATGTTGTAAAAATTGTTTCACTGTCTTATGCCAGAAGCTACCTGTGGTCCATCTACTACAGGTGATTGAATCTTCATTGCCATCAGGATGGAAAATGATCCAGACACAAAATCCAATATTAGCTTCTGCTGTTTTTAATGACTCCATTTTTGGTAATACTTGCCAAAATGATGGTGTCCAGTAAGTAGATGATAATAAATATGCAATATTTTATTGGAGAATTGACAGCTATAGAATGGGGATGAAGGAAGCAGGTTTGGACAGGAGGAAAAGTGTTACTAGGCAGCCCAAATGAAGGGCTTAGATTACCTGATGAGGAACTCTGGATCTTCCAGAGCCTTTTAAAGTTATTCTGAGTTGGAGAAAAGAGGCTGTTATTGTATACTGCTACCTTAATTAGTCACTGGATGTAGGCTTCTCATGGAATAGACATGGCTTTGGGCAAATCAATTGTTTTTCAAATGAGGCACTTTGCAAAGGAATTGAACATTGAAAGTTATCTTCTGGAAGCAATCTCACTAGCTAGGGCAGTAAGATTTTTATAAAGGGGGATCTGTGAAGCCCATTACAGTGTATTCATTACATATACATTCAATTTTGTGTCTGTAATTACATACACACATAACACAATATAGCAACATTTTTCTGATAATTTTTATTTGTGAGGTAATTCATTTTTCTAGTGTTTTTGTTGTTTTCTTTGTAGCATATTTTTATAGATCTTGTGCTAGTTCTTTCTTTCCTTAAAATTTTTTATTGAATGAATTTGTTTTTTCTCGTCCCGGTGTTTTCTAAGTTTCTCTTATTATTATGAACTGGTAAGTTAAACATATCTAGATAGCTCATTTTCAGAATGCCAAAGGCCTTTCTTTCTCAGTAACCACAAACACACACTGCTTCCTGCAAATATGGCTTGTTGTGTGAATCTTAGTCTATGTAAATCTTACTGCCTTTATTTATCTGAAATTAACTGGGCTGGAAGAGCTCCTGCCAATATCCTGCACGCTTTATATTTTCTACATCTTGCAACTCTTTTGCCTTTAGGCCATATTCTCTCCTCAGAAGTTATATTTTGTCATCTACTTTAGCTAAGTTCAGCATCAGGAAACTATCCTCAGTTTTTCTCCTATTCAGTACATGTGTATTTTGAATAAATATGCTTGCTTTTGACAGTCATTAATGTATTATGGTTTCATAAAAAAAAATCTTGGGTTTTTTATCTTTCACATTCTTATACTTTTGAGTGATTTCTAGGAGGAGAAAGAAAAAATGTTCAGTTTTCTAACCCATATAAATTCTGGAAATTAACTAAATCCTATATTAAATAAACTTCTTAAAAGTCTTTCTACGAATATAATTAGGCTTGCAGTGGATTCTATATTATGTTGGGAAAAATTGGCAGCCTTACAATAGTAAGTAGTCCATTCTATTAACTTGGCATTTATCCTAGCGTTTCTTTATATTCTTAAACAGACTCATAATACCTCAAAGTGTGTATTGTTATTATGGATAGTATTCTGCTTTCTACTATGTTTTCTAGGAAATTATTGGTAATATATATTACTATTAATACTATTGATTTTTGGTAGTTGAGTTTGTATCTGGAGAGTGTGTTAAATGCTTTATTTGTTGTAGACTAATACTCTTGCTTTTCCTAAGACATTTTATTTCCCTTAGAATTATGCTTCTACTTCTCTCATTTTTCTTCCTCTGAGATTATATTGAACAATTGTATATCATCTTGTTATCATGTTCTGTTCATGTTGAATAGTAAACATTCCAGTGTTGTTACTGATTTGAAAAGGGATTACATGTATAGTTATCTCTGATGTTTGTATATTATGTTGGTAGCTATATTAGATAAAGAGAACTCCTACTCAAAATTACTAATTCTGAGCATTATTAAATATTTTATACATTGAAATTGATCAAATATATTTGGGACATTAATTTACAATTCATATCTTAACTAATTAATGGTAGAATACATTGACAAAAGTTCCTGTTATTAAGATAACATTTGAATATCTGGGCAAAACCTTTCATAATTATGATCCACTGTAAAAATATAAAGATAGACTCAGATAATACAGTCATTTAGAATTGTGGTGTGGATGAGCACAAGAGAAATGACTTTTCTGTTTTCATGTCATCTTAACTAATTTTGAAATTAATTATTGTGATGATTATTATTGCATGTCAACTTGATTGGATTGAAAGATGCAAAGTATTGTTCCTGGGTGTGTCTGTGAGGATGTTGCCAAAGGAGATTAACATTTGAGTCACTGGACTGGGAAAGGCAGACCCACCCTCAACCTGGGTGGGAACAATCTAATCAGCTGCCAGGACAGCTAGAATAAATGCAGAAAGAAGAATGTGGAAGGACTGGACTGGGAAAGTCTTCTGGCCTTCATCTTTCTTCCATCCTGAATGCTTCCTGCCCTCGACCATCGGACTTCAAGTTCTTCAGCTTTTGGGCTCTTGGACTTACACTATTGGTTTTCCGGGGGCTCTCGGTCCATCAGCCACAGGCTGAAGCCTGCATCATCAGCTTCCCTATACTTTTGAGGTTTTGGGACTCAGACTGGCTTCCTGGTTCCTCAGCTTGCAGACAGCCTACTGTGGGACTTCACCATGTGACCCTGTAAGTCAATTCTCCTAATAAACTCTCCTTCATGTATTTATCTGTCCTATTAGTTCTGTCCCTTTAGAGGACCTTGACTAATACAGATTTTGGTACCAGGAGTGGTTCTAGAGGAACAGAATTTCAAGGATGGATTTCTTTAGTTGATTTTGGGGTTTCTGGAGTTGGCTGCTTAATATGATTAGATCCAAAAATGCTAAGGACTCTACTTCTAATAGTATGCAGAACACTGAGAGTCCTTGGTATGAACTGTTTAGAGTTAAGCAAAATAAATGCATTTGATACTCCTGATCCACTACTCATGAGAGGCAAGGAGTTTAGAGACTCTATGCATAATATCTATGATGATAGGTGGAGAACAAAGGAATATAATGAAGTTGGTTGGTTACTCTTCAGTTGGTTGGACAAAGTGATGAGGAAAACAGTGAACTCAGGGATACTAATTCCCGGCTTCAGAAGCGCATACTGAGCCTCAAATCTTCTAAGATTGCCCTGAGTGAGAGTCTTGTTTCCTGTAAAGAAAGAGCTAAAATTGTGGAAAATCAGACACCAGCTCTTATAATGCAAGTGGCTGACCTGCAACAAAAGGGGCATGCACAGCCTCACCAGGTGTCTATTGTTAAAGTGAGGGCATTGATTGGAAAAAAAAATGGGACTCTGCAACTTGAACTGGGGGATGTGTGGGAGGACACTGATGAAGCTGAGGACACTGAGCTTGTAAACTCTGATGACTCTGATGAGTCTTTTTTTTTTTTTTTTTTGCCAGAGGAAACAGCTTCCCTACCACAGTGGTGGCAAAATTCCCACCCTGACCCTCCCTGCCATTAGCCTTTCCACTTTTGTTTGAGAATAACCCTGCACTGCCCGAGGCGAGAATAACGGCCTCCCCTGAGACAGTTGCCAGGAAAGACAATGTTGACTTTCCTCAGGACCAACCCACTACACCCCTGTTTGCTTCTAGACATTTAACAAGACTCAAGTCCTGGCAGGCCCCTAGAGGTTAGGGTCAGAGTGTGAACCATGAAGAGGTGCACTACACTCCAAAAGAACTGCTTGAGTTTTCTGATGTATATAAGCAGAAATTTGGAGAACACGCATGGGAATGGATATTAAGGGTGTGGGATAATGGTGGAAGGAACATAAAGTTGGATCAGGCTGAATTTATTGATTTGGGCCTACTAAGTAGGGATTCTGCATTTAACGTAGCAGTTAGAGCTTGAGAAGTTTAAAAAGTTGTAATAGTTTATTGGCTTGGTTAGTTGAAATACGGATCAAAAGATGTCCCACTGTGAGCCAGCTAGAAATGCGTAATCTCCCTTGGTTTAATGTAGATGAAGGGATCCAAAGGCTTAAGGAGATTGGGATGCTAGAGTGGATTAGTCACTTTAGACCTACTCATCCCAGCTGGGAGGGTCTAGAAGACATACCCTTCACCAATATTTTGTGAAGTGGATTTGTGAGGGCAGCACCTGCATCCTTGAAGAGTGCTGTGATTGTGCTTCTCTGTATGTCATGTCTTACATGGTGAGCTACAGTCACTCAACTACAAAATTCAAATGCACTGGGACTAATTGGATCCCAAGGTGGCAGAGGCTAAGTGGTGGCACTCAACCACCAAAGGCAAGGTGGGTGTAGTTACTGTAATGGACAGCAGAGGCAAAGCAACAATCAGAATAGTCTGAGTCATGAAGAACTCTGACATTGGCTAATTAATCATGGTGTTCCTAGAAGTGAAATTGACAGGAAGCCTGCTACACTGTTACTCAATTTATATAAGCAGAAAACTTCCAGATCGAGTGGATAAAAGGCTAATTTCGATTATAAAAACAGAATCATGGCCCCTCAATCAATTTTCAGACTTGACCTGTTTATAGATCCAGAACCCCTTTAATGAAGGGAAGGTTGGGTCCCCTTGAGGCAGAACCTCACTACACTACTGACAATTTATGATGTTTATCTTTCTCTTATCCTTCCCCAAAGAGACCTTCAGCCTTTTACCAGGGTAACAGTGCATTGGGGAAAGGAAAATGATCAGACCTTTAGGGTACCACTAGACCCTGGCTCTGAGCTGATGTTGTTGATTCCAGGGGATGCAAAATATCTTTGTGGTCCTCCAGTTAAAAGAGGGGATTATGGAGGTCAGATAATAGAATTTTAGCTCAGGTCGGACTTACAGTGGGGCCAGTGGTTCCCCCTACTTATCCTGTGGTCATTTCTCCAGTGCCAGAATGCATATTTGACATAAACATACTTAGCAGCTGGCAGAACTCCCACATTGACTCCCTGACTGGTAGCTATTATGGGTTGGGGCTACTATGGTGGGGAAGGCCAAATGGAAACCATTAGAGCTGCCTCTACCTAGAAAAATAGTAAATCAAAAACAATATCACATCCCTGGAGGGATTGCAGAGATTAGTGCCACCATCAAGAACTTGAAAGATGCAGGGGTGATGATTCCTATCACATCTCCATTCAACTCTTTCATTTGTCCTGTGAGCAAGACAGGTGGATCTTGGAGAATGACAGTGGATTATCGTAAGCTTAACCAACTGGTGACTCCAATTGCAGCTGTGGTACCAGACGTAGTTTCATTGCTTGAGCAAGTTAACACATCTCTTGGTATCTAGTATGCAGGCATTAATTTGGCAAATGCCTTTTGCTCCATTCCAGTCCATAAGCCCCTCCAGAAGCAATTTGCCTTCAGCTGGCAAGGCCAGAAATATACCTTTACTGTCCTATCTCAGGCGTATATCAACTCTCTGGGTTTGTGTCATAATCTTGTTTGGAGAGATCTTGATCTCTTTTCCCTTCCAGAAGATAACATGTTGGTCCATTACATTGATGACATAAGCTGATTGAATCCAATGAGTGAGAAGTAGCAAACACACTGGACTTATTGGTGAGACATTTGCATATCAGACAAGAAAAATAAATCCTACTAAAATTCAAAGACTTTCTACTTTAGTAAAATTTCTAGTGGTCCGTTGGTGTGGGGCCTGTCAAGATACTCCTTCTGAGGGGAAGGATAAGTTGCTGCATTTAACCCCTCCCACAACCAAGAAAGAAGCACAAAGTCTAGTGAGCCTAATTGGATTTAGGAGGCAACACATTCCTTATTTGGATATGTTACTTTTACGCATTTATTGAGTGACCTGAAAGTTTGACAGTTTTGAGTGGAGACCAGGAAAAGGCTATGCAACTGGTCCAGGTTGCTGTGCCAGCTGCTGTGCCACTTGAGTCATATGACCCAGAAGATCCAATGGTGCTTTGGGTGTCAGTGGCAGATAGGGATGCTGTTTGGAGCCTTTGGCAGACCCCCATAGGCGAATCACATAGGAGACCTCTAGGATTTTGGAGCAAGGCCCTGTCATCTTCTGCAGATAACTACTGTCCTTTTGAGAGACAGCTCTTGGCCTGTTACAGGGCTTTGGTAGAAACTAAACATTTCACCATGGGTCATCAAGTCACCATGTGACCTGAACTGCCTATCATGAAGTGGATGCTTTCTGACCCATCTAGCCAAAAATTGGAGCATGCACAGGAGCATTCCATCATCAAATGGCAGTGGTATAGTGGTATAAACATGGTCAGGCTAGAGCAGGTTCTGAGGGGACAAGTAAGTTACATGAGAAAGTAGGTCAAATGCACATGGTCTCCACTCCTGCCACCCTGCCTTCTCTCCCCCAGCCTACACCGATGGCCTCATGGGGAGTTCCCTATAATCAGTTGACAGAGAAAGGGAAAGCAAGGGCCTAGTATTCTGGTAGCTCTGCACGATATTCAGGCACCACTTGAACGTGGACAGCTGCAGCACTACAGCCCCTTTCTAGGACATCACTGAAGGACAGTGGTGAAGGGAAATCTTCTCAGTGGGCAGAACTTCAAGCAGGGTACCTCATTTTGCACTCTGCTTGGAGGGAGAAATGGCTGGATGTGTGATTATATACTGATTCATGGGCTGCAGCTAATGGTTTGTCTGGATAGTCAGGGACTTGGAAGAAGCATGATTGGAAAATTGGTGACAAAGAAATTTGGGGAAGAAATATGTGGATGGACCTAACTGAGTGGTCAAAAACTGTGAAGAGGGTCGGGTGCTGTGGCTCACACCTGTAAATTAGCCGGGCGTGGTGGCGGGTGCCTGTAATCCCAGCTACTCGGAAGGCTGAGGCAAGAGAATGGCGTGAACCCAGGAGGCGGAGCTCGCGGTGAGCCAAGATCGCACCACTGCACTCCAGCCTGGGCGACAGAGCGAGACTCCATCTCAAAAAAAAACAAAACAAACAAAAAAAAAAACCTGTGAAGATATTTAGATATTTGGATGTCATGTGAGAGCTCACCAAAGAGTGACCTGCACAGAGGAGAATTTTCATAATTGAGTGGATAGAATGACTTATTCTGTGGACACCACTCAACCTCTTTCCCCAGCAACCCTGTCATCACCCAATGGTCCCATGAATAAAGTGGCCATGGTGACAGGGATGGATGTTATGCATAGGCTCAGCAACTTGGACTTCCACTCACCAAGGCTGCCCTGGCTACAGCCACCGCGGAGTGCCTAATTTGCCACAGCAGAGAGCAACACTGAGCCCTTGATATGGCACCATTCCTTGGGGTGATCAGCCAGCTACTTGGTGGCAAGTTGATTGTATTGGACCACTTTTATTATGGAAAGGGCTGTGGTTTACCCTCACTGGAATAGACACTTACTCCAGGCATGGGTTTGCCTATCCTGCACACAAAGCTTCGGCCAAGACTACCATCCATGGACTCATGGAATGCCTTATCCACCATCCACCATCATGGTATTCCACACAGCATTGCCTCTGACCAAGGCACCTACTTTACGGCTAAAGAAGCGCAGCAGTGGACTCACGCTCATTGAACTCACTCATCTTACTATGTTCCCTGTCATCCTGAAGCAGCTAGATTGATAAAACAGTGGAATGGCCTTTTGAAGTCACAAGTACAATGCCAGCTAGATGACAACACTTTGCGGGGCTGGGACAAATTTCTCCAGAAGGTTGTGTATGTTCTGAATCAGCATCCAATATATGATACTGTTTCTCCCATAGCCAGGATTCACAGGTCCAGGAATCAAGGGGTGGAAGTAGAAGTGGCATCACTCACCATCACCCCTAGTGATCCACTAGCAAAAGTTTTGCTTCCTGTTCCCGCAACATTATGTTCTGCTGGCCTAGAGGTTTTTAGTTCCAGATGGAGGAATGCTGTCACCAGGAAACACAGCAATGGTTCCATTAAACTGGAAGTTAAGATTGCCACCTGGACACTTTGGGCTCCTCCTACCTCTAAGTCAACAGACTAAGAAGGGAGTCACAGTGTTGGCTGGGTTGACTGACTCAGACTATCAAGATGAAATCAGTCTACTACTCCACAATGGAGGTAAGGTAGAGTATGTGTGGAATACAGGAGTATCCCTTAGGGTATCTCTTAATATTACCATTCCCTGTGATTAAGGTCAATGGAAAAATACAACAACCCAATCCAGGCAGGACTACAAAGAGCCCAGACCCTTCAGGAATAAAGGTTTAGGTCACTCAACCAGGTAAAAAACCATAATCTGCGGAGGTGCTTGCTGAAGGCAAAGGGAATACAAAATGGGTAATAGAAGAAGGTAGTTATCAATACCAGCTATGACCACATGACCAGTTGTAGAAATGGGAGCTGTAATTGTCATTAGTATTTCCTCCTTATTTTGTTAAGAACATGGTTGTGCATATACACACTTGCAGGAAGAGAATATCTTCATTTTATTTCCTTTCTTTTTCCCTTATACGACATAAGATTTACTGACTTCATATCAACATTTAAGTGTTGTTAAGTTTATGTAATAGCATTTGGGTCGGGGATTGGTGAGTTTCCGCTAGTATGAAAAAGAGCTGCATTATATTAGGTGTAATTATAACTTCATCATTGTCTTTATTTGAAGAGTATGTATGATTTCAGGAGATGTGTATGGGTTCAAGTTGACAAGGGTAGACTTGTGATGGTTAATATTGAGTATCAACTTGATTGAATTGGAGAATGCAAAGTATTTGTTCTGGGTGTGTCTGTGAGGGTGTAGCCAAAGTGGATTAACATTTGAGTCAGTAGACTGGGAGAGGCAGACCTACCCTCAACCTTGATGGGCATAATCTAATCAGCTGCCAGTGCGACTAGAATAAAAGGAGTCAAAAGAACGTGGAAAGACTGGACTGTCTGAGTCTTGTGGCCTCAATCATTTTCCTTTGCTGGATACTTCCTGTTCTCAAACATCAGACTCCGAGTTTTTCAGCTTTTGGACTCCTGGACTTACACCAGTGATTTGCTAGGGGCTCTCAGGCCTTCGGCCCCAGACTAAATGTTGCACTGTCGGCTTCCCAACTATTGAAGTTCTGGGACTCGGACTGGCTTCCTTGTTCTTTAACTTGCAGATGGCCTATAGTGGGACTTCACTTTGTGATTATTGGAGTCAATTCTCCTAATAAACTCCCCTACATATATTTATCTTTCCAATGCGTTCTGTACCTTTAAAGAACTCTAATACAAGTATATTCTAACTTTGACAAATAAGTGAGGCATTTTTTCTCATGTTTTATTTTTCCTGTGAAAGTTGTATAAAATAGAGTTTTCCTTGATAATTTGGTAGAATATTTCTGTAATACAATCTTGTATGGGTATAAAGCATGTGTGGATGGGTGTTGGGTGTGGCAGTGGTGGGCAATGAGAAGTCTCTAAGTAGCATTTCAGTTACTGTCATGCTTCTTTATATGTCTACTATGCTAACTTTGGCATTTTAAATTTTTCCAGAAGAGCGTATTCATTTTGTCTAGGTTTGCAAATTACACTGACATATAATTGTGTGCATGTCCACATAAATGTGTGTATATGTGCACACACACATATATATACACATATATTTATATGCACAATGCATATGTCTCTACATATATATTCTGATTTGACTAAACTTGTTTTATTTAGTTTTTTTGTTTGCTATCTTCTTTCTCTTATATTGAAGAAGTTTTTCTAGAGTTGTGTTTGCATTTCAATCTTCTCCAAAAAATATCCTTTGGATTTGCTTAAACTTATTAATCATGCCAGTCAAATTCACTATACTGAAAAAGGTTTCTAAGAGTTCTCATGCTATTCTTCATGCTTTACCTTCAGACTGTCTTTACCTACTTTTTGTCTGGCGTACTGGGTGTATGAGAGGGAGCTGGAGTTCCAACATCTTTCCAAGAGTTACCACCTTTTCAGGAGCTGATCTCAGAAAAAAAAAGTACAGACAGGGACAGGTAGAATAGCTATAAAACTCGAAGATGTTTGCTATGTCTTTTGGCCCATTGTGACTGCTATAACAAAATGCTATAAAATTTGGGTAGATTATAAATAAAAAAGAAATCATTTCTCACTCTTTTGGAGGCTGGGGAGTTTAAGAAAAAGGTGCCAGAGAATTTGATGTCTGGTAAGGCCTACTTTCTGGTTCATAGATGGCACCTTCTGAATTCTGTCCTCACATGGTGGCAAGGTCCCTTGGGCCACTTTAAAAAGGTACTAATCCCATTCATGAGGGAACCTTACCAATTATGTAATTGCCTCTCAAGGGTGTTATTTCCTAATAACATCATATTGTGGTTGAGGATTCCAGCATATAGATTTTCAGGCCATTGTACTATGTTAAGCGTGCTTTTACTAACAGGTAAGCACTAAACTAATAATGCCTTAATAATTGAGATTTAGTCTTCTCAGTTCATAAAACGTCTGGAGGACAGAATTTGCTAGCAAAGGTTTAATGGTTAAGTGTTATCATAACTCTAGGTCACCATCTTATACTACCTCAATTTGTATTGTAGTACCCTTTACACTCAACCTGCAATTAGCACTTACTCTGTGCCAATCTTTTCTTTTAAAATAGACAATTTTTTTTCGCATTTAATCCTTACAGAAAAACTATAAGGTAGATCTTGTTATTTCTCCCTCAGATGAGTCAATGGGAAATAAAAATCTTTACCAAAAATTTCCAACAAACTTCACGTTATTTCTTATTGGCCAACACTGAGTCACAGCTTCTTCCTTTGCTAGGGACTGGATTTTTATTTCATGAAATCAAAAGATCTGTGTCTATACCAGAAAAAAAAAAATTAGGGTTTTGTTACCAGGCAAAAATGCAAGTAGAAATAATAGTCTCCAAACTAAAATCTTTGTGGAAGAATTGAAATTATGGGAGAAATAAATCAAAAGTTCATAGTGGGTACAATGAGAGATAACTTATGCAAATTATATGAGCCACATAATTGATATTATTGATATCATTGCTATTACTTAGATTTAAATACATAAGTAAATAAAATGCTTTCAATGTTTTTTATTTTTTAAATAGAATGAAAAGTTTTTATAATAGATGAAAACAATAAAGATGAAACCACTATAACATTAAGAATTATAAAATCTTATTGTATTGAACTTATTGTCTTTGAATGTATTCAAGTGAATTTATAAATAAATACAATAAGTGAATTGCAGCACAAAATATAATGAAATCCAAAGATCAAGTGCATGTTTTGACCATCAGTATTGTGTTTTGGCAGGAGATATGTAGAATTGATCATTAAAGGCTTTTTAGAACTGTTGGAGAAAAAAGTCTAAAAAACATTTTAAACTATATACTATAAAGTATGACAGTTAATGAAGTTAAAGTGTATGTAAAACTGTAGAAATATACTATAAAATAGGACAGTTAATGAAGGTAAAGTGTAGTAAAACTATAGAAAACAAGAAATAGAATTTGGAAAAATACCATGTTTTGAGATATCTTTGTAAATCCATGCAACTATATTTGTAATAAAATTTTTAACAAAAATATGAGCTTATGGTTATGTAAGCTGTATGGGATGAGGTTTAAGATTAGATCACGGTGATGATAAAACACAAATTGTGCAAAGAAACATTTAATTCATTAGTTATGTGAAGCATAATATACAGTCATGGAAGTTCATACCTCTTGCAGTCAAATTTTCCAGCAATCCAGTGCTAGCTTAAGTATAAAACTATTATTTCTGAAGTTGCTTTCTAATATATTCCACTCGTAAATAACTTCTATTTTTTATCATCCTTTTTAGCATTTCATTTGTATCTCTTAATGAAAGAAAATGAAAACTTTTAGAGCCACATAATTGATATCATTTGTATCAATTACGGTAACATCTGGTAGTTAGCAGTATATTCATGGACCTAAGCTTTCTCTCTTACTAAAGAGTCTAACTTCCCTAATGGTATATATGTAATTTTTGGTTTTTCTCTGTATTCAGTACCATTCCCCTGATGCTGACCGACATGTATAGAGAACAGAATACAGTGTATTTTTATTGATAAAATTCAGAATATTGATTTAATGGTAGCAGAGTTGTTTATTAAAAAAAAAATAAGCACAACAGTTCCCAACAACAAGCTACCAACCCCTTGTTAATTGAAGGAAAATACCTAAGACTTACTTATAAAACCTACATACAGAATTTTTTGAAAAAAAAATTTTAGTTAAAATATGAACTCAATGACTTCTATATTATTCCCATCTTTTAATACTATGTTATTGCTTAATTCTTACTAAATTGTGCATTCATTATTAATAGAAACTATAAGAATTCAAACTAATAAGAAGATTTTTAATTGCTACAAAGACATTTTAAAATAAGATTAAATCCAAAGAAATCTATATTACACATCATAGATTTGTTAAAATTGCTGATGTTTTTCTGACATTTGTATGGGTTTATGTGCTTAAGAATCAGGTGCGAATCTTGATAAAAATATACATATTCAGAATGTACCATTTGATATTTTAAATCTTTGGGGATAAGGGTGAGAGAAGATTCAACATTTTTATCAATTTCTCAAGCTGATTTTGATACACCATGAAGTTTTATAAGAACTGATACAATTTTTTTTCTTTACTATGGCTGAAGGGTGTAAGTGAATTAAGGTGAGAAGTAATTTTCAATGCACTAGTCTAGAACTGTACAGATGACAAATGATATTTCAACAGATGAAGAAAAAATAAACTTTACTATTTATAGAAAAGAATTTGATTTCACTCTTTGATTCAAGAGTGAAAAACACAATAATTGAATGCACTTTGTGGTGATGGTGGAGTCTTGAGGTTCTGTTTTTATAAGTCACAATATTTCAAATTAACCATACAGAAAAAATATTGTATTTCCTTATATTGGCCAGCCAGAAAGTTACTGGACAATGTCATATACAATATGAGTGCCAGGCCAGGGTCCGTTAATAATAAAGGAGCTGGTGAGTGAGACAATTTAGATGGCTCAATGGGGTGTTTCAGAGACAGACTTTGTTGAAGTTATATTTAGTTGGCAGTTATAAGTTAGATAATTAAAATTATCTAATACTGAGTCAGGTGCGGTGGCTCACACCTGTAATCCCAGCACTTTGGGGGGCTGAGGCAGGTGGATCACTTGAGGTCAGGAGTTCGAGACCAGCCTGGCCACATGGTGAAACCCTGTCTCTACTAAAAATACAAAATTTAGCTGGGCATGGTGGCATGTGCCTGTAATCCCAGCTACTTGCAAGGCTGAGGCTGAGGCAGGAGAATTGCTTGAACCCAGGAAGCAGAGGTTACAATGAGCCAAGATCACGGAACTGCACTCCAGACTGGGTGACAGAGTATCCATCTCAAAAAAAAAAAAAAAAGAATTATCTAATACTGGATTCTTATGTGATAATTACCAGGTTTTAGAAATTTTGAAAAGTATACAAACACATAGAAATTCCTAAGAATAGTGACTCTTCATTTGAAGAACTAATGTTTTTCCTTTAGAGTCTATGAATGGGCTAAGTGTTGCTGTTCAAACGATTAGGATTATTTCACTAGTATTTAGAAGCCTTCAAGTCAGAAACCAAAGAAGAGCTGCTACTGAAAAGATATCATTAAGTAATCATCCACATCTCTCCCAACCTATCACCCTTCTAAGTATCCATTGTCTAACATCCCTCTCTCTATGTCCATGTGTACGCATTTCTTAGCTCACATTTATGAATGAGAACATGCAGTGTTTGGCTTTCTGTGCCTGGTTTGTTTCAGTTAATAACTGCTAGTTCCATCCATGTTGCTACAAAAGACATGATTTCATTCTTTTTTAAGGCTGAATACTACTTTGTTGTGTATATATACCACATTTTCTTTACCCAATTATCCATGGATAGACACTGAATTTTCCATATATTTGCTATCACGAATAATGTTGTGGTAAACATAGAGCACAGGTGTGATATATTTTTGATATATTGATTTCCTTTGGATAGATACTCTGTAGTGGATTGAATAGTAGTACTATATTTAGTTCTTTGAGAAATCTCTATACTGTTTTGTATAGAGTTTGTACTAATTTAAATTCCCACCATCAGTGTGTAAGTGTATTCTTTCCTCCACCATTTCCTCCATTTTCTCACCAACAGGATATTTTTAGTCTTTTTAATAATAGCCATTTTTTTCCAAGATAGAAGATTAGAGGCTTTTAACATGCCTCAGCCACTTGTAAATACCAAGATAATGCATTAAGATAAACTCTGTTAGCTTTAACACAAGAAGAAAAATGGGAATCCACTGAAATCATGAAGGACACTTCAGATCCTGGGGAAGAAAATGAGGGTAAACAGCCCCATGTGAGTGTCCAGCTGATAAAAGTGAGTGAAACCATAATACATGAGAGAGGCAGAGAGCTTCATTCTGTGACTCAGCTTTCCACAGGGGTTATGAGCAACCAGGCTGAAGCAGAGCAATTTGTTTCTCCCGTGCACTGTAACTAACATGTGGAGAGGCTTGGAGGTGTGGGAAGAAAAGACACTGGGAAAAGTAGCCGGCATTTTCCCAGATCTGGGACTGACAGCAGGAAGCCTTTTATTCCAGGTGCATATGAAGCCATTTTTAATCCAGTGGCATATAAAGCTATTCTTTGGAGACCTAGCAGTATGGCCATCCATGCAAGCATTTCAGTCTTGGGCCAGAGATTGGAGTGCTTGCTCTAGAATGGGTTAGAAACTTCTACAGCCAGAACTGTGGCAAGCACCCCAGCAGTAGGCACTGAAATTGTGCTCTCTCCTGCCACAGGCCTGGGGTGAGAGGAAAGCTGTCACAGTGACAGTTTCCTCTGGGCAACAAGACTTGCATCCAGGGCCAGCTTGGTGACCTGGAAATGGTGTTTGTGTGCCCTTGCTGCATGCCCCAGTCTGCTTCCCTGAGATTATGTTGTAGTGGGATTCTCTCTGCTCCACCTAAGAGCACTCACTCCCATGGACCAGCAATCTGAGGCACCCCACCCTTCATGAAGCAGAGATCATAGTACAGCAGGGCCCTCTCCTCTCTACACCCAGGCAAAACTCCAGGCATTCAGAACATCTGTTCATCTTCCTTCTGCATAGATTGTGATGCAGTGAGACCCTCTCTGTTCCACAACCAGGCAGGTCTACAAATTTGGAGCACCCATTTGTATGGATTAGCAAACTGAGGTGCCCCACTATTACTATGCAGAGATCCTGGGGCAAGCTGACCTTCTCCACTTCATGCCCAGGCAGATCTAGAGACATTCAGAGCAACTGTTTGCCTGGTTAAGCAGCTTCAGACACGCCACACATCCTGGGAATGGATGGTGGTACAGTGAGGCCCTTTTCACTCCACACACAGGCAGCTCTCCAGGCATTTGGAGTACCTGCTCGCCTGGATCAGCAGCCTGAATGATCCTACCCTTCCTGCACAGTGATTGTGGTGCAGGTGGACATCTCTGCTTCATGCCCAGGCAAAACTCCAGGTATTCAAAGGACCTGCTTGCCCAGCTTGAGCTGCCATGCCCTTCCTGTGCAGAAATCCTGTACCTCTCTAATTCAAACCCAGGCTGACTTCCAGGCATTCAGAGCACCTACTTTCTTGGCTCAGCATCCTGAGCTACCCCACCCTTCTTATGTAAAGATCGTAGTGTAGCGGGGCCCTCTCCGGTCCATGCCCAGGAAAATCTCTCGGCATTTTGAGCACAAATTTACCTGGATTACCAGCCTGAGTTGCAGTACCCTTCTTGTGCAGGGATTGTGCTGTAGGGCGTAGCTCTATACTCCATGCCCAGGCTAATCGCTAGACATCTAGAGTACCTATTCTCTTGAATTAGAAATTTATGCCACTCCCACCCTCAGTGCAGAAAACTTGAGGCCAAAGAGGTTTCCAAGGTCCGTGCCTAGGCAAACCTCTGGGCACCTGGTGGTCAAACACTGGATGCTTCTGCCTGCTAATAGGGGACCTGTAGGAGGATCTGTCCAGCCTGGCCCCCGTCATCTTTCCCATCCCAACCCCCGGAGGCTGATCAGGGAGGTGAAACTATGTGTACTCCACAGATGAGCTCATTGCTTGAGGCAACAGAGAACTTCTCAAAGTAAACGAGAATGAAGTATATTCGCAGCCACAGCAGCCAAAACCGGCTCTTACCTATCCACGCCATCTACTGGCTTGTGGGTCAAACTGCAAGCCCAATATAAAACCTATTGACAGAAGTGCATAGGGCTGCAGAGGCAAAGTGAAAAGACCCCTACCCAGCACTCTCTACAGTCACACCCCTCTAGGAGGCAGGTACAGGGAAAGGGAAACAACTAATATTATAGAGAAAGTAAGAAAAAAATCTTACCTGCATGAAAATAATTACAAAATTTATAAGTGCTAGTATCTTTGGATTAGAAGGAACCAGTGAAAGAATACTGACACCACGAAAAACGTCAAAGTGATGACACCAGAGGATCATACTGGCTCTCCAGCAATGATCCCTAACCATAATAGAAACTCAGAAATGAATATAAAGAATTCAGTGCATGGATTGCAAGGAAATTCAACAATATCCAAGACAAGGTTGAAAATCAACGCAAAGAAACTTCTAAAGCAATGCAGGTAAGGAAGAAAAGATAAACATCTTGAAAAGAAATCAGTCAGAACTTATAGAAGGAGAAACCTCACTAAAAGAATTTCAAAATACAATTGAAAGCTTTATCTAAGGACTGGACCGAGCAAAATAAATAACTTTAGAGCTTGAAGACCAGTCTTCCAAAATAACCCAGTCAGACAAAAATAAAGGAAAAAAGGAATTTTAAAAAGTGAACAAAGTCTTTGAGAAATATGGGAATGTGTAAAGTGACAACATATGAATTACTGGCATTCCTGAGAGAGAGAACAAATAGTAAATAGCCAGGAAAACCTATTTGAGGGAATAATACCAGAAAATTTCTCTTTTTTTAGAGAAGTAGACATCCTGACACAAGAAATAAATATGGCATCTGTGACATACTATACAAAATGAACATCACCAAGGCATATAGTCACAAGACTGTCCAAGGTCAATGTTAAAGACTAATCTTTAAAAAGAAAAGATTAAATCACATACAAAGGGAACTACATCAGGCTAATAGCAGACTTTTTATCAGAATCCTTGCTAACCAAGAGAGATTGGAGGCTTATTTTAAGCATTTTTAAAGAAAGGAAATTCCACTCAAGAATTTCATATTCCACTAATATAAGCTTCGTAAGCAAAGGTGAAATAAAACCTTTTTCCAAACAAGCAATAACTAAGAGAATTTATTATAACACCAGCCTTACAAAAGATCTTTAAGGGAATTCTAAACATTAAAGTGAAAGAATGATACCTGCTAACACAAAAACATACTTGATTACCTATCCCACAGACCTTATAAAATAACCACACAATGGAAGCTACAAAGGAAACATCTAACAACTCCATGGTAGGAAGAAAACCTCACATATAAATACTAACCTTGAAACTAAACAGTGTAAACACCCCACTTAAGAGGCATAGTTCCAAGTTGAGTAAAAAACAAGACCTCTCCATCTGCTGTTTTCAAGAGACTTATCTCACACATAATGCCACTCATTGGATCAAAGTAAAGGTTTGGAGAAACAGCTATCTCACAAATGGACATTTAAAAAGACCATGGGTCACTATGCTTATACTGAACACAATAGACTTTACACCAAAAACTGCAAAAAAAGACAAAGAACAGCATTACATATTGATGAAAGTTCAATTCAACATGAAGACCCCATACTTAAATGAGATAGTTAACCTATTTAGAGCATCCACCATTAGAGCAACACCATTGATAAAACAAGTACTTTGAGACTTAGGGAAAGACTAAGATATCCACGTAATAATAGTGGGAAACTTCAAACCCCACTGAGAGCATTAGGTAGATCATCTAGGTAGAAAACTAAAAACTGAGTTTTGGAAAGAAAATTTACACTTGACCAATTGGACCTACCTAATAAACAGCAAATAATAATAAACCTAATAAACAGAACCCTTCACCCATCAACCACAGAATATATAATCTTCTCATCTACACATGGAACATACTACAAGGTTGGACTCATGCTCAGCCACAAATCAAGTGTCAATAAGCTGAAAAAGAAAAAGAAAATCATATCACTTGTACTGTCAGATCACAGTGGAATAAAAACAGAAATTAATACCAAGAAGATCTCCCCAAGCCCCACAATTACATAGGAATTGAACAACTTGCTCTTGAATGACTTTTGGCAAAGCAACAAAATTAAGGTAGAAATACAAAAATCTTTGAAATCGATGAAAACAGAGACACAATATACTGAAATTTCTGGGATGCAGCAAAAGCAATTTAATGGGGAACGTATATATTGCACTAAACACCTATCTCAGAAGTTAGAAAGATCTCAAATTAATAATATCATACCTAGAGGAACTATATAAACAAGAACAAACTAACACCAAACATTGGTTCTTTGAAAGGATGAACAATATTGAATGACCACTAGCTAGATTAACAAAAACAAAACAAAAAGAAGTTTCAAATATGCACAATCAGAAACAATGGTAACGTTACAACTCATCCCACAGATACAGATTATCAGAGACTTTTATTAATAACTCTATGCACACAAACTAGAAAGTCTAGAGGAAATGGATAAATCTCTGTAAGCACATAACCTCTGAAGATTGAATCAGGGAAAAATTGAATTTCTGAATAGAGCTATATCAAATTGCAAAATTGAATCATTAATGAAAAACATACCAATCCATAAAAGCCTTGAAGCAGGTAGATTTGCAGTCAAATTCTACCAGATACACAAAGAGCTGTTAGTATTTCTATTCAAGCTATTCTAAAAAATTGAGGAGGAAATACTCCTCCCTAAGTCATTCAAGGAAACCAGCATTACCCTGACACTAAAGCCTGCAAACACATAACAAAAAGAACAAACTACAGAACAATGTCCTTGATGCCATAACAATCTTCAACAAAATAATGTCAAACCAAATCTAATAGCACATGAAAAAGTTAATTTACCACGATCAGTTAGCCTTTATTCCTGGGATGATGCAAGGGTGGTTCAACATATGCAAATCAATAAATGTGATTAACCATGTGAACAGAATTAAAACAAAAATCATATGATCATCTTAATAGATGCATAAAAGTGTTTGATGGAATATCCCTTCATGATAAAAATTCTCAACAAACTAGGTATCAAATGAACATACATCAAAATAATTAGATATGTCGGTGACAAACCCACAGACAACATCATACTGAATGGGCAAATGCTAGAAGCATTCCCCTTAACAATAGGAACAAGACAAGGATGCCCACTCTCACCACTCCTATTCAATATAGTGCTAGAAGACTTAACCAGAGCAATCAGGTAAGAGAAAGAAATAAAAGACATCCAAATAGGAAAATAATAAGTTAAATATCTCTCTTCACTACATTTGAAAAAAACAAAAAACTATTCTAAAATTTATATGGAAGAAATAACAGAGCCCAACTAGCCAAAGCAATCCTAAACAAAAAGAACAAAGTTGCCTGGGCATGATGGCTCATGACTGTAATCCCAGCACTTTGGGAGGCTGAAGCAGGTGGATCATGAGGTCAGGAGTTCGAGACCAGCCTGGCCAACATGGTGAAACCCCGTGTCTACTAAAAATACAAAAATTAGCTGGGCGTGGTGGCACACACCTGTAATCCTAACTACTCAGGAGGCTGAGGCAGGAGAATTGCTTGAACCTGGGAGGCAGAGGTTGCAGTGAGCTGAGATCACGCCACTGCACACCAGCCTGGGCAAGAGAGCAAAACTCTGTCTCAGGAAAAAAAAAAAAAAAGAACAAAGTTGGAGAGATCATATTACCTGACTTCAGACTATACTAGAAGGCTACAGTAACCAAAACGTCATGGTGTTTGTACAAAAACAGAAACATAAACAAATGCAACAGAATAAAGAACCCAGAAATAAAGCTGCACACCTACAGCCATCTGATCTTCGACAAAGTTGACAAAAATAAACAGTGGAGAATGGAATTCCTATTTTAATGGTGCTGCGATAGCTGGCTAGCCATATGCAGAGAACTGAAACCAGACTTTTTTAGTAACAGCCATTCTGACTAGAGTGAGATATCTCATTGTGGTTTTAATATGCATTTATCTGATTATTAGTAATGTGGACCATTTTTTTCATATACCTTTTGCCCATTATTGTTTCTTCTTTTGAAAACATATCTATTCATGTGTGTTGCCCACTTTCTAATGGAATCATTTGTTTCATCTTGTTGATGTTCTTGAATTGAGTTTCTTGTATATGTGGATACTAGTCCAAAGGTTACTTCTTTATTTATGCAACTATAATGCACAGTGAAGCATTAGTATTCTTAGGTTTTTATTTGTACAGTCCTTGAGGGGTTTGAGAGTACAACTTTAAAAGTGCACAAAATTCATCATGATACTGGTCATAATAAACACACATCAAGTGTGTTAGCACACTATCATTAGACTGTAGCAATCCTAAACATCTGTAACAATTTTGTAACATAAAGCATAACTAGAAAACTTATTTCAAAGATCTCTTAGTATATATGACTGAAGTTTCTCAGCCATGGATGATACTAGTTTTGAATCAAACACTTAAATTAGTTTATTATGCCTCCTCTTATGTCCAGGTAAAATTAGAATGTCCAAGAATACACATTTCTTTGGACTGAGGAGTTTTTCAGAACACAGATTTTTGGTGCTAAGCCATGAAAGTTCCATTAAAAAGGGGAAAAGTTGTTAACATGAGTTACATGGTTTCTAGTTTCTATAAATCCAGAAATGACTGTCCCCTCCTCACCCACTGTTAAATACATGTAGACTTGGGCAGGAATACAGGACTTTTTTTGATGTTTGATGTACTTTTGATTTCAAAGCAATTAAATCTGAATAAAGAGAACATCAAAGGGCAGATTAAGTCTCTTAAAATATTTCTGAATATTGTGGGGATTTTCTGAGCAGCCTGCTTCAGAAATTCTAAAATGTGATGAATGAGCAATCTAGTCTCATGCTCTGGAAGCCTTTGAAGACTTGAGGACCAAATAGTGGGAATAGAAATGAGCAACTTTGATCAATGTCAAGGGACACTTCTCCCCTAAAACACACATACAAAGGACCACTTAATTGTACATTCTAGTAGCTTTCCTTCGACATGATATTTTGTTAGCAACTTTTCCTTCTCACAGAAACTATTACTTATACTCTTGATTTTTTTTATTATCAGCATCAGTTGGCCTAGCATTCAAAGAAAGGAGTAGATGCTGACTAAATATTTACTAGTGGATACAAAATAGATCACATATTGATGGTCATAAAGAAGATATGAAACAGAAATTTCCCTTCTATATATATTATATTCATTAATGTATTTGAGTCACACTGGAACAAGAAGGCACACATTATATCAAACATGGAGGAGAGATTTAATTTTGTATTTTATTTTCTATTCTAAGCTTACTAGGACATACTACTATTCACTATCTTGACTAAATAATTATACTTCCTGAATCATATTACATCAGAACTTTGGTGAACAACAATGACATAGGAATTAATAGTAGACATGAAGGTGAGTGAATTAAATAAAAGGTTATTACTATATTCTTATAAAGTAATTAATTAAATTTTTAGCATTTTGTTTTGTTAAGATTTTACATATGATTTTTTTAACATGCTACTTTATAATTTCATTTTTTAAAGCATTAAGTTTTAAACATCTTTGTACATCATTAAATATTCTTTTACATAAATATTTTTAGGTAACTACATAGATATTCATTTTATAAAATTATCATGATTTTTAAAACATTTTTCATTGCTGGACCTATGGGTCATTTTTATTTTTATTACTATAATAAAGAATACCGCAAATAAAACATTTAGATTTTCATGCTAATTGTTGTCTTATATAGCTTTCTATATATAAAGCCGAGGAACCAAATAATGCACAAATGTTTCTGGTTTTGTTAAATGGGCATTCAAACATACTATACAAACTTACTCTCCCAAGTATATTGTGCAACAGTACCATAATATAAATGATCATTAATTATCCATAATTTGTGTAAGCTTCATTTTTTCTTCTTACGTTAGAATGGAAAATAAAGCATATTGTATATTGATTTAGCTAGTGTATCAAGGCTGTTTTACTAGAACAATACATCATGATCATACTTTCTTTTTGACTACTTTAGGGATTATATTTAGTTTCATTCTTATAAAAATTTATAGCTTAATGAATAAATGAACAATGAGGTAATGTTCTTCAAAGCATGTCCAGTTTTATATCATGATTCATCACATATAAGAACTGCTATAGAAAAGATAATGCTATTCTAGAATTGCATATATGACAGGTTGATTTATCTTTGCATTCTGTGTGTTTTGATGTACAGACTTTTTAATGGCATTCATTCATTAATTTCACAGGGCATGCCTCCTATATGTATGACACCATAGTGGTTCTAGAGGTATATAAAATGAATAAAATACAGACTCTGCCCTTAAGGAGTTTAAAAACTAGTAGGGGAGAGACATGAAAATAAATAGCCATGATACAGAATGAAATGTTAAGTGCCCCCAGAGAGGTGAAAGCATACTCCAGGAAAATGCTGATAGATGCAATTGCTTCTACAGAAGGTAACCAGGTAAATTGACATTGGTTGGGACTTTAAATATTGAATAGTGTTTTATTCTTTTTCAGAACAGTCATTGTTTTGGCACTTTTAAAAATAATGAAAGGCAAATCATATTTCCATATATGATAAGTAACACTAAAATACTCACATTTCTTAAAATGTCAATAATGGAAGGGATCTCAAAGATCATCTAGTCCTATATGTTATTAATATCAAGACATGAATAAAATATTTTGGAAATTGAAGTATGCTTACAACAAAACCTCAACTATCCATAATCATGTAATAATTCTGTAAGAGTTCTAACCTTGACAAATACATTTGTCTGCTTCCTAGTCTATTTGTTCTGGGCAGCAACTTGACTTTTTACAGTTCATTTGGAGAGAAATCTTTAGCAAACTACTTGGGATCCTTGATTTGGTTAAAGCTAGAGGAAATTGTGGCTGAAAAAAGAAAAAAAAAAAAGACTTAATAGGCCAGGCGCGGTGGCTCATGCCTGTAATCCCAGCATTTTGGGAGGCAGAGGCAGGCAGATTGCCTGAGGTCAGGAGTTCGAGACCAGTCTGGCCAGTATGGTGAAACCCTGTCTCTACTAAAAATTAAAAAAAAAAAATTAGCTGAGTGTGGTGGCATGCACCTGTAATCCCAGCTACTCAGGAGACTGAGGCAGGGGAATTGCTTGAACCAGGGAGGTGGAGGTTGCAGTGAGCCAAGATTGCACCACTGCACTCCAGCCTAGGCGCCAGAATGAGACTCTGTCTCAACAAAAAAAAAAAAAAAAAAAAAAGAAGACTTAATATACTTTCAGATGATTGTATTATCTTTATTGATAATTAATATTTAAGTTACAATAAATTTATTGATTTTCTTTTTATTGGAGAGTATTTTCAATTGAAAATCAGAATATTGGGATTTAGTTTTTATTGTTTAAATAATTACTAGTTTGAACTTAGGAAAGTCTTTAGACTTTTCTTGACATATATTTTCTCACCCAATTATTTCCAATCCCTTTTAACTATATCTAAAATATTTGCTTTTTTTCTTTGTAAAATCGTGAACAAAATACATATATGATATTGATACTACTAGATAGAAAGGCTGTGAAGTTGGCTGTTGGAAACTCTCATGCTCAGTTCTCATTACATCAACCATTTCAATTGTTTCAGTACATGATTTTATAAGACCTTTCTCCCACTTTCCCAGTGATTACGGCATCCTACAAGTTATTATTTTTGTCTTCCATTTCTATTTAATACACTGGTAAAATTCTAAGCCAAAATTTAACTGTTAGTTCAAACTACTTTTTAAGGGTATAATTTTATGCTTTATTTGCCCTTTAAATAAAGCTACATAATTGCTCTAGAGAGAATAAGAATGCATGTGGGATATAATATAACATGTACCTTTTCTGAACAAGGAAAAAAAGTTGTGCAAATTGAAGCTGTAATTACTACGTGCAGGCGTAAAGAAAAAATGATTTTCTAGTCACTGTATTCATTCACCTTGAGTAGGAAATTATAGTTTTTCTAATTTAAAAAGGTCACTTTATTTTTCTGAGCATTTGATTGGTTGAATATCACACACTTTTACTTTTTGCATGAATTGGGCTGTTTGGGGGTTACTGTCTAGAAAATGTTGAGACATTTATTTAAATGCAGAGTATATTATTGATTCCAGACTGTCAACTCAAGGCTAAAATCCTGCTTGAAACATGAGAAGTGGATAACCATGTGCACATGACTAGTACCTACCCCATGACAGTTTCTTAAGAACCCTGTAGTAGAATTAAATTATCAGAGGTTATGGAAACGGCTGCTTGTGTCTAGTGAGTATCACACTGGAAGGTCATTATTGAGGCAGCCATAATTTTTATTCACAATACACACACAACCAATAGTGCCAAGATAATTCAAGACTGAACATCCCATCCACACACCAACCTGTAGATTCCTGCCAGTTCATGCAAGTCAGGGAATTACCAAAAATAAATTTTAAAAATTAGAGTATATTCCAGTGGATTTAATTTTGAATGAATTTTTTGTCAAAATTTTCACTTTATCTATCTTCTATCCTTTAAAAATTGTTTTGTTCTGTTAAAATTGAATTTACATATTTATTGAAAATATTTACATTATGTATTTTTTACTATAAGTACTCTTCAATATAGTTCAAAATATTTATTTTTCTGAATTATTTATTAATTTTAATTGACATATAAAATTATTTATCTTTATTGTACACAGGACGATGTTCTGAAATATGTGTACACTATGAAATGGCTTCATATCCAGTAAATGGTCTTGATACTAAATTCAGACCAATACAAAACCATAACAGGAAACTATTGACCAATATCCCCAATGAACATAAATGCTAAATTTCTCAACAAAATACGAGCAAACTGAACCCAACAGCACTTCCAAAAGATGATACACTATGATCAAGTGGGTTTTATACCAGGGATGCAAGGATGGTTCAATAATGCAAATCAATAAATGTGATGCACCACATAAACAGAATTAAAGACAAAAACTATATAATCCCAATAGATACATAAAGTTGATAAAATTCAGCACTTATTCATCATAAAAAATCCCTCAACAAACTGGCATAGAAATAATAAAGACCATATATGGCGAACTCACAGCCAAAATCATACTGAAAGGTGAAAGTTGAAAGCATTCCCTTTAGAAGCTGAAACAAGACAAGGATGCTCATTTGCATCGCTCCTATTAAGCATAGTATTGAAAGTCCTATCCAGAAGAATCAGGCAAGGAAAAGAAATAAAACGTATCCAAATTGGAAAACAGGGCCTCAAATTATCCCTGTTCACTGATGATATGGTCTTATATCTTGAAAACCCTAACCATTCCACCAAAAACCTCCTAGATTTTGATGAATGAATTAGTAAAGTTTCAGCATACAAAATGAACATGCAAAATCAGTAGTATTTCTATACACCAACAACAATCTAGCTGGAGCACTAAATCAAGAATGCAATGCAATTTACAATAGATGCAAAAATAATAACAAGGAATATATTTAACCAAGAGGAAAACTACAAAACACTGATGAAAGAAGTAGTAAATGACACAAATGAAAAATAATCACATGCTCATGGATCAGAAGAACTAATATCTTTAAAATGACCACAATGCCCAAAGCAATCCACAGATTTAATGTGATTGCTATCATTATACTAACATCACATTTCACAGAAGTAGAAAAATAATCCTAAAATGTATATGGAGCCAGAAAAGGACTCAGATATCCAAAGCAAAACTAAGCATAAAGCAGGCTGGAGACATCACATTACCTGATATAAAATTGTACTACAAAGTTACAGTAACCAAAACCGCATTGTGCTGGTACAAAAATAGATATATAGATCAATGGAACAGAATAGAGAAACCAGAAATAGGGCCACATACTTATAGTCAGCTGAAGTTTGAACAAAGTCAACAAGAACACACACTGGGGAAAGGACAACATTTTCAATAATGATGCTGGGAAAAATGGATTTCTATATGCAGAAAAATAAAATGAGGCCTCTGTCTTTCATCATATACAACAATCAACTAAGATGTATTTTAAATAATTAAATATATGACCTAAGACTATAAATTACCAGAAGAAATCTAGAGAAAATTATTTTGAACATTGGTCCAGGCAAGGAATACAGAACCAAGACCTCAAATGCACAGGCAATGAAAACAAAAATAAATGGAATTTAATTAAACTAAAAATCTTTTGTGCAGCAAATAAATAATCAACAGGGTAAAGAGACAATCCTCAGAATGGGAAAAAATACTTGCAAACTATTCATCCAATAGAAGACTAATATCCAGAATATGCAAGGATCTCATACAAGTCAACAACAACAACAACAAAAGAATCCCATTAAAAAATGGTCTAAGGACACGGTAGGAATTTGTTTTTAAAAAAAGTCACAAAAGTCCGACAAGAATATGAAAAAAAGTTTGTATCATCACTAATCATTAGTGAAATAGAAATTAAAACCACAGTGAAATATCATCTTACCCAGTAAGAATGGCTATTCTTAAACAGAAAAAATAACAGTGGTTAGTGAGGACGTGGAGAAAAGAAAGCACTTATACACTGTTAGTGGAAGAGTAAATTAGTACAACATCTATGGAAAATTTTTGGAGATTTTGCAAAGAACTAAAAATAGAACTAAATTCAATCAAGCAATCACACAACTAGCTATCTATCTAAAGGAAAATAAATCATTATATAAAAAGACAACTGCATCTACATAGTTATTGTAGGACTATTCACAATTGCGAAGATATGGAACCAATCTAAGTGCCCATCAAATGATGAGTGGGCAAAGGATACACAATGAAACACTATTCAGCCATAAAAATGAAATTATGTCTTTTGCAGCAACATAGATGAAACTGGAAGTCATTATTTTAATTGAAATACACACAGAGACAACACGTTATCACTTATAATTGAGAGCTTAGTAATGTGTACACATACAGGTAGTATGTGAAATAACAGACAGTGGAGACTTAGAAGAGGGTGGGTGATGAGAAATTACTTAATGTCTATAATGTATGCTAATCGCTGATAGACACTAAAAGCCCCGACTTCAATGCTTTGCAATATATCAATATAACAAAATAATACTTGTACCTCATAAAGTTATACAAATCAAATAAAATTTTAAATAAGATTACTGAGATCAACATAATGGAGCTTTACTCCTAAATTTTCTTCTAGTAGTTTTAAAGTTTCTGGTCTTACATTCAAGTCTTGCAATTGATTTTGAGTTGACTTTTTTATATGGCGTGAAGTAAGGTCCGATTTTATTCTTTTGCATGTAGATGTCCAGTTATTTCACATTTTTGAACATTCTGTCCTTTTCCCGTGCATCCTTGGCACTTTTACAAAAATTAATTGACCATTGATGTGTAGCTTTATCTTTTGGCTTTATATTCTGTTCTATTGGTTAATGTGTCTGTTTTTATTGGGGGGAAGAGGATATTTTTTGCCAATACCATGTTGTTTTGATTATAATTGCTTTGTAATACATTTTGAAATCAATGATATGGTTTGACTATGTTCCTACCCAAGTCTCATCTTGAACTGTAGTTCCAATAATCTCCACGTGTTCTGTAAAGGACCCAGTGGGAGGTAATTGGATAATAGGGGTGGATACCTCTATGCTGGTCTCATGATAGTGAGTTCTCATGCAATCTGATGTTTTTATAAGAGGATTTCCCCCCATTCCCTTGGCACTTCTCATTGCTGCTGCTATGTAAAGAAGGACGTGTTTGCTTACCCTTCTGCCAAGAGTGTAAGTTTCCTGAGGCCTCCCCAGTCATGCTGAACTGTGGTCAATTAAACCTCTTTCCTTTATAAATTACCCAGTCTCTGGTATGTCTTTAATAGCAGCATCAGAATGAACTAATATAGTAAATTGGCACCATGTGTGGGGGTGCTGTTGTAAAGATACCCAAAAATGTGAAGTGATTTTGGAAGTGGGTAATAGGCAGAGGTAGGAACAGTTTGGAGGGCTCAGAAGAAGACGTGAAAATGTGGGAAAGGTTGGAATTTCCTAGAGACTTGTTGAATGGCTTTGACCAAAATGCTGATATTAATATGGACAATAAGTCCAGGGTGAGGTAGTCTCAGATGGAGGTGAGGAACTTGTTGGGAACTGGAGCAAAGGTGACTCTTGTTATGCTTTAGCAAAGAGACTGTCAGCATTTAGCCCCTGCCCTAGAGAGGTGTGGAACTGTAAACTTGAGAGATGATTTAAGGTACCTGGCAGAAGAAATTTCTATGTTTTCTCGTTGTTCAATTCCAAAGCATTCAAGAGCTGACAGAACATAAAAGTTTGGAAAATTTGCAGCCTGATGATGCAATAGAAAAGAAAAACCCATTTTCTAAGGATAAATTCAAGCCTGCTGCAGAAATTTGCATAAGTAATGAGGAGGCAAATATTAATTGCCAAGACAATGGGGAAAATGTCTCCAGGGAATGTCAGAGACCTTCACAGCAGCCCTTCCCATCACAAGCCTCAAGGCCTTGGAGAAAAAACATGGTTTCCTGGGCTGGGTCCAGGCACTCCTGCTGTGTGCAGCCTGGAGAATTGGTGTCCTGTGTCCTAGCTAGTCCAGCTATGGCTAAAAAGGGTCAAGTTACAGCTGGGGCTATGGCTTCAGAGGGTGTAAGCCCCAAGCCTTGGCAGCTTCCACTTGGTGTTTGTCCTGTGGGTACAGAGAAGAGAAGAATTGAGGCTTGAGAACCTCCACCTAGATTTCAAAGGATGGATGGGAAGGCCTGGATGTCCAAGCAGGGGTATGCTGCAAAAGGCAGAACACTCTTTTGAGAACTTCTACTAGGGCAGTGCGAAAGGGAAATTTGGCTTTGGACCCCCACAGAGTGTCCCCACTGGGACACTGCCAGCTGTGAGAAAAGGGCCAGCCTCCTCCAGACTCCAGAACGGTAGATCCACTGTCAGCTTGCACCATGAGTCGGGAAAAGCTGCAGACAGTCAATGTCAGCCATGAAAGCAGCCATGAGAGGAGTTGTACCCTGCAAAACTACATGGTCAGAGCTGCCCAAAGTCCTAGGAGCCCACCTCTTGCATCAGCATGTCCTGGATGTGAGATATGGAGTCAATGGAGATCATTTTGGAACTTAAGGTTTAATGACTGCCCTATTGGATTTTGGACTTGCATGGGGCCTGTAGCTCCTTTATTTTGGCCAATTTCTCCCATTTGGAATGGGTGTATTCACCCAATGCCTGTATTCTCATTGTGTCTGGAAAGTAACTAACTTGCTTTTGATTTTACAGGCTCATAGGCAGAAATGACCTACTTTTCTCAGATGAGACTTTGGATTTGGACTTTTGAGTTAATGCTGGAATGAGCTAAGACTTTGGGGGACTGTTGGAAGGGCATGATTGTGTTTTAAATTGTGAGGACATAAGATTTCAAAGGGTCCGAGGGCAGAATGATATAGTATAGCTGTGTCCCCTCCAAAATCTCATCTTGAACTGTGGTTCTCCACATATTGTGGGAGAGACCTGGTGGGAGGTAATTGAAACATGGGGGCGGTTACCTCCATGCTGTTCTCATGATAGTGAGGGAGTTTTCATGAGATCTGATGGTTTTATAAGGGGCTTTCCCCCCACTTCACTTGGCACATCTCCTTGCTGCTGTGATGTAAAGAAGAACATGTTTGCATCCCCTTCCACCATGATTGTAAGTTTCCTGAGGCCTCCCAAGCCATGGTGAATCATGAGCCAATTAAACTTATTTTCTTTATAAATCACCCAGTCTCAGGTATGTCTTCATTAGCAGTGTGAGAACAGACAAATACAGTCAGGGAGTGTGATGCCTTTAGGTTTTTTCATTTTTACTCTAGACTGCTTTGGCTATTCTGGCTTTTTTTTTGGTTACATAACAATTTTAGGATTTTTGTTTCTATTCATGTGGAAAAAAAGATTATTGAAATATTTATAGTAAATGCTTTAAATCTGTATATCACTTTGGTATGGACATTTTAACAATATTAATTCTTCTCATCCTGGAACACTAAATTTTTTCTGTCTATTTATATATTTGGAAATGTCCTTCATTAATGTTTTCTAGTTTTGGGTGTACAGTTCTTTCTCCTCCTTGGATAAATTTAGTCAGAAGTATTTTATTTTACATGTTGTAGTCATCACAAATGTTTCTTTTTTAAATTTCTTTTTCAGATACTTTGTTGTCATCATATATAAATACTACTGATTTTTGTATATTTATTTTGTACCTTACAACTTTACTAAATTTGTTGACTGGTTCTGACAGTTTTATTGTGTAGTCTTCAGAGTTTTTTAAATATGGGATTCTGTCATCTGCAGATACAAACAATATAACTTCTTTCCTAATTTTGATACCATTTATTCATTTTGTTCTTGCCTGTTTGCTCTAGGTAGAAGTTGCAGTATCCTCTTAATAAGTAGTAGCAGGAGTACACTTTGTCTTGTTCCATATTTTAGATGAAAAGCTATCAACTTTTCCCTTTTGAGTGTGATGATATTAGCTGTGGGTTTATTATGTATGGCTTTTATTGTGTTGAGGTACTTCTTTTTATACTTATGTTGTTTGAAGCTTTTATCAGGAAAATATGATACATTTTATTAAATGCTTTTTCTGTATCTATTGAGATGTTCACATGGTTTTGTTCTTCATCATTCCCTTAATGTGGTGTATTACACTTATTACCTTGCATATATTGTCGCATCCTTGCATCGCAGGGACAAGTCCCACTTGAAAATGATTAATAATTTTTAATTGTGCTGTTGAATTATGTTGTATTACAGTCTACCTCTCCCTTCATAGTTATCTATTAATATTTCTTTAATATATTTGGGAGCTCCAATTTTGGATTATATATATATATATTTATAAATGATATATTCCCTTGATTAACCCCATTAACATAATATAATGAATGACCTTCTCCTCCTTTCTTATAGTTTTGGACTTCAAATCTGTTTTATCTGATATAAATATAGCTATTCCTGCTCTCTTTTTGTCTTCATTTGTACAGATTATTTTTTCCATTCCTTCACTTTCAGTCTATGTGCTTCCCTTAACGGTGGCATATAGTTGGGTCTTGGCTGCATTATTATTATTTTTTAATTGATTAAGTTATTCCTTACCTTTTGATTGCATAATTTAATCCATTTACATTCATGGTAATTATTAATTGATAAGGAATTACTATTTTCTTGTTTATTTCAGCTTGAACAACTCTCTGTAGCATTTCTCGTAAAGAAGGTCTGATGGTAATGGACCCCCTCAGCTTTTATTTGTCTGAAAAAGCCTTTATTTTCCATTTCTAAATAACATTTTTATTTATAGTATGCTTACTTTGCAGTTCTATTTCCCTCAACACGTTGACTACATCATTTCATTCTTTCCTGGCATGTGGTATTTCTACTGAGAAATCTGCTGATAGCCTTATTGGAACTCCCTTACATTTGATTTATTTCTTTTCTCTTGCTGATTTCAGAATCTTCTCTTTATTTTTAATTTTTGATGGCTTAATTATATTATGCCTTGGTGTAGTCTTATTTGGAGTTAATCTGATTAAAGATGTTTGATTTCTAGCCTTCTTGGAACTCTTCTTAAAATTGATTTTTTCTTTCTTTTCTCTTGCTGCTTTCAGGATCTTCCTTTATCTTTACTTCTTGATGATTTGATTATAATATGCCTTGACGTAGTCTTATTTGGAGTTAATCTGATTAGAGATCTTGGATTTTCCTCTAGATGGATATTTTTATATTTTCTCATATTTGAAAAGCATTCTGCTATTGTTTTTAAAAATAATCTAATACTTTGCTGCTCTCTTCTTCTTTTTCTATTTTTTAACATTATTTGAATTTTATTTTATTTATTTATTTTATTTTATTTTATTATTATTATACTTTAAGTTCTAGGGTAAATGTGCACAATGTGCAAGTTAGTTACATGTGCATACATGTGCCATGCTGGTGTGCTGCACCCATTAACTCGTCATTTAGCATTAGGTATATCTGCTAATGCTATCCCTCCCCCCTCCCCCCACCCCACAACAGTCTCCAGAGTGTGATGTTCCCCTTCCTGTGTCCAGGTGTTCTCATTGTTCAATTCCCACCTATGAGTGAGAACATGCAGTGCTTGGTTTTTTGTCCTTGAGATAGTTTACTGAGAATGATGATTTCCAATTTCATCCATGTCCCTACAAAGGACATGAACTCATCATTTTTTATGGCTGCATAGTATTCCATGGTGGATATGTGCCACATTTTCTTAATGCAGTCTATCATTGTTGGACATTTGGGTTGGTTCCAAGTCTTTGCTATTGTGATTCGTGCCACAATAAACATACATGTGCATGTGTCTTTATAGCAGCATGATTTATAGTCCTTTGGGTATATACCCAGTAATGGGATGGCTGGGTCAAATGGTATTTCTAATTCTAGATCCCTGAGGAATCGCCACACTGACTGCCACAATGGTTGAACTAGTTTACAGTCCCACCAACAGTGTAAAAGTGTTCCTATGTCTCCACATCCTCTCCAGCACCTGTTGTTTCCTGACTTTTTAATGATCGCCATTCTAACTGGTGTGAGATGGTATCTCATTGTGGTTTTGATTTGCATTTCTCTGATGGCCAGTGATGATGAGCACTTTTTCATGTGTTTTTTGGCTGCATAAATGTCTTCTTTTGCGAAGTGTCTTTTCATGTCCTTCACCCACTTTTTGATGGGGTTGTTTGTTTTTTTCTTGTAAATTTGTTTGAGTTCATTGTAGATTCTGGATATTAGCCCTTTGTCAGATGAGTAGGTTGTGAAAATTTTCTCCCATTTTGTAGGTTGCCTGTTCACTCTGATGGTAGTTTCTTTTGCTGTGCAGAAGCTCTTTAGTTTAATTAGATCCCATTTGTCAATTTTGTCTTGTGTTGCCATTGCTTTTGGTGTTTTAGACATGAAGTCCTTCCCCATGCCTATGTCCTGAATGGTAATGCCTAGGTTTTCTTCTAGGGTTTTTATGGTTTTAGGTCTAACGTTTAAGCCTTTAATCCATAGCTTACCAACCAAAAATGAATCCAGATGGATTCACAGCCGAATTCTACCAGAGGTAAAAGGAGGAACTGGTACCATTCCTTCTGAAACTATTCCAATCAATAGAAAAAGAGAGAATCCTCCCTAACTCATTTTATGAGGCCAGCATCATCCTGATACCAAAGCCGGGCAGAGACACAACCAAAAAAGACAATTTTAGACCAATATCCTTGATGAACATTGATGCAAAAATCCTCAATAAAATACTGGCAAACCAAATCCAGCAGCACATCAAAAAGTTTATTCACCATGATCAAGTGGGTTTCATCCCTGGGATGCAAGGCTGGTTCAATATACACAAATCAATAAATGTAATCCGGCATATAAACAGAAGCAAAGACAAAAGCCACATGATTATCTCAATAGATGCAGAAAAGGCCTTTGACAAAATTCAACAATGCTTCATGCTAAAAACTCTCAATAAATTAGGTATTGATGGGACGTATCTCAAAATAATAAGAGCTATCTATGACAAACCCACAGCCAATATCATACTGAATGGGCAAAAACTGGAAGAATTCCCTTTGAAAACTGGCACAAGACAGGGATGCCCTCTCTCACCACTCCTATTCAACATAGTGTTGGAAGTTCTGGCCAGGGCAATTAGGCAGGAGAAGGAAATAAAGGGTATTCGATTAGGAAAAGAGGAAGTCAAATTGTCCCTGTTTGCAGATGACATGATTGTATATCTAGAAAACCCCATTGTCTCAGCCCAAAATCTCCTTAAGCTGATAAGCAGCTTCAGCAAAGTCTCAGGATACAAAATCAATGTACAAAAATCACAGGCATTCTTATACACCAATAACAGACAAACAGAGAGCCAAATCATGAGTGGACTCCCATTCACAATTGTTTCAAAGAGAATAAAATACCTAGGAATCCAACTTACAAGGGACGTGAAGGACCTCTTCAAGGAGAACTACAAACCACTGCTCAACAAAATAAAAGAGGATACAAAGAAATGGAAGATCATTCCATGCTCATGGGTAGGAAGAATCAATATCATGAAAATGGCCATACTGCCCAAGGTAATTTATAGATTCAATGCCATCCCCATCAAGCTACCAATGACTTTCTTCACAGAATTGGAAAAAACTACTTTAAAGTTCATATGGAACCAAAAAAGAGCCCGCATCGCCAAGTCAATCCTAAGCCAAAAGAAGAAAGCTGGAGGCATCACGTTACCTGACTTCAAACTATACTACAAGGCTATAGTAACCAAAACAGCATGGTACTGGTACCAAAACAGAGATATAGATCAATGGAACAGAACAGAGCCCTCAGAAATAATGCCGCATATTTACAACATCTGATCTTTGACAAACCTGAGAAAAACAAGCAATGGGGAAAGGATTCCCTATTTAATAAATGGTGCTGGGAAAACTGGCTAGCCATATGTAGAAAGCTGAAACTGGATCCCTTCCTTACATCTTATGCTCTCTTCCTCTTAAACTCATATAACTCTAATAATTTCTTTTGTGATGCTGTTCCATACATTCTTTATTCTCTCTTTATTCTATTTCATTGTTTTCCTCCTCTGACTGTGTATTTTCAAATAAACTGTCATTGAGTTCACAGATTTCTTTGTGTGTGTGTGTAAAAAATTATATTGTTTATGCTCTCTATTTTATTTTATTCATTGTATTTTATAGGTCCATAATTGCATTATTTATTTATTTTAATAGCCTTAGGAGTACAAGTGGCTTTTCATTACATGGATGAATTTGTTAGTGGTTGTGATGGTTAATATTGAGTATCAACTTGATTGGATTGAAGGATGCAAAGTACTGATCCTGGGTGTGTCTGTGAGAGTATTGCCAAAGGAGATTAACATTTGAGCCAGTGGGCTGGGGAAGGCAGACCCACACTTAATCTGGTGGGCAAAATATAATCAGCTGCCAGCAAATACAAAGCAGGCAGAAAAACGTGAAGCGGAGAGAATGGCCTAGCCTCCCAGCCTTCATCTTTCCCCCATGCTGGATGCTTCCTGCCCTAAAACATCGGACTCTAGGTACTTTGGTTTTGAGACTCAGACTGGCTCTCCTTGCTCCTCAAGCTTACAGACAGTGTATTGTGTTACCTTGTGATCATGTAAGTTAATACTTAATAAACTTCTCATATATAGATATAGATATCCTATATACCTATCTCTCTATCTATCTATAGATATCTATATCTATCTATATCTATGTATCTATCTGTCTATGTGTCTATCTATCTATCTATCTATCTATCTATCTATCTATCTATCTACCTATCCTATTAGTTCTGACCCTCTAGGGAACCCTGACTAATACAGTGGTGAAGTCTGGGATTTGAGTGAACATTGTACGTAATATGCAGTTTTTTATCTTTCACCTCCTTTCCAGCCTTCCCACTTCTGATTGTTCAGTGTCCAGTATACCAATCTGTATGCCTTTGTGTAACCATAACTTAGATACCATTTATAAGTGAGAATATGTAGTATTGGGTTTTTAATTTCTGAGACACTTCACTTAGAATAATGGCTTGTAGTTCCATCAAAATTGCTACAATATACATTATTTTATTCTTTCTTATGACTGAGTAGGATTCCATGGTGTGTGTGTATGTGTTTGTGTGTGTGTAATCAAAAAACAATAACTAAGACAATATCTTTAACAGAGAATATTAAAGTTGTTTAAAAAAAATTATGGCAGTAACTACATCACTAATCATGGAAATGCAAATTAAAACCACAATGATATATTGTGTGTGTGTGTGTGCGTGTGTATCACACTTTCTTTATCTACTCATCACTTGATGGACACTTAGGTTGATTTCATATCTTTGAAATTGTGAATTGTGCTGCCATGAACATATGCATGCAGGTGTCTTTTTGATATAGGGACTTCCTTTGCTTTGGGAAGGTACCCAGTTGTGGGATTACTGGATCAAATGGTAGGTCTAGTTTTGGTTCTTTGAAAAATCTTCATACTGTTTTCCATAGAGGTTGTACTAATTTACACTCCTACCAGCAGTGTATAAGCATTTCCTTTTCACTGCATTCATGTCAACATCTATAGTTTTTTGACTTTTAAATAATTTTGTATGCAGTTCTCTCCATAATTTCTGTTTGATTTCTTTATAAAAACGTCAATATCTCTGTTAAACTTATTGTTTTGTTTGTTTATTGTTTTCCTGATTTCATGAAATTGCTTTTCTTTATTTTCTTAAATTTTGTTGAATTTTCTTAGAACAATTATGTTGAAGTTTTTGTCAGGTAATTTATATAGTTTCATTTCCTTGAGGTCAGTTTGGGAGATTATTGTGTTCTTTTAGTTGTATTATATCTCCTCGGTTTTTTGTGTTTCTTGTTGTCTTACATTGATGTCTGTATATTTGAAGAAGTAGAAACTTATTCCACTCTTTGTGTACTGGTTTTGTTTGAGACAGTTCTTGATCAGTCAACCCATTCAAAAATTCTGGGGAAGTCATCTGGAGTGGCTGGTATGTAGACTTGGTTTAGAGTCTTCAGGTAGTCTTCCCTGGTTCCTGGAGCAGCAGGTAGATAGGCCTGGCATCTAGGTTCATGGAGTTATGCCTGGAGTATAAACTGACTGCTTTGGACCAATTGGGTCTGAGTAGATGAACCTGGAACCTAAGTCTGTGTGGATAGGAATGGAGCTTGTATTCATAGCCAGGGTTCACAGACACTGATCTGTCATTGAGGTAGACCCTGAGCATGAATATACAGATGCTATCCAGATACTGGGATAGCCCTGGTGCCCACATCCTCCATGATGGGTTTAGAACATGAGTCCCCAGGGGCAGGCCTGACATTGGGGTGGGCCTGGAGCTTGAGTCTGTAGAGAAGGGCCTGAAGCCTGAGTTTACAGGGGTGGTCTTGTAGCCTCTTTCTGTGGAGGCTGGTGGAACCATGGGTAACAGGAGTGGGTCTAGGTGCTGGCTCTGCTAGGGCAGGCCTGGACCTTGACCATGACCCTGGGTTCACTAAAGCTAAGGGCCACATGGACCAGGCTAAAATTATGAGGCCAGGCTCGTTCTAGGCAGGCATTGAAACTGAGTTTGTGGGAGCAGATATGGAAACTGGGATTGCAGCTGTTAGACTTGAGCCTGAAGCCATGTGGCCTGGCCTGGGGCCTTGGGTTGTATGCACTGGAGCCTATGTCTTTAGGTGCCAATTCAGTGCTTAGGGACTACTGGGATGAGCCTGAATCTGGTTCTACTAGAACATGGAACAGCTGGGCCAGGCCTAGAAGGTGGGGCAGTCTTCCATTTAGCAGGCCTATAATCTGTATCTATGGAACTGGCCTGGTGTCTGAGATTAGTCATATCAAGTTGGAGGTGGTATGGGCTTGAAGCCTGGGTCTCTGTGAGCTGACTTGGCTCTGGGTTGGTTTATAACTGCCGGGTGGGCCTAGAGCCTAAGGGATTACTTGTGGCTGGGTAGGCCTGAAATCTGCATCCATAGGGGCTGACCGGAGGGTTAGGTCTGTGAGTGCTGGCCTCATGACTAGAAATTTGGGGCCACCCGGGTGCTAGACCAGGCCTATGCAGCCAGCCTTGTGCTATGAGCAGTTTGGAGCCTGGGGCAATGGGTACTAACCTGGAGTCTAGAATCCTGGGACTACCCCTGGGGCCTGAGTCTGTTGGGGGTGGCCTGGTCCTGGGTTGGGACCAAAGTTCAGTGGCATTGGATTGGAGCTTACCTAAAGCTGGAGCCAGCCTGGAGCCTGGATGCACTGGGGTTGGTCTGATTGAGGGCAGTCCTAGAGACAGAGGCTGACAGGCCTGATCTATTAGTCAGGGTTCTCTAGAGGTACAGAACTAATAGCATAGATGTATATATGAAGAAGAGTTTATTAAGGATTATTGACTCACAGGATCGCAAGGTGAAGTCCTATAATAGGCCATCTGAAAGCTGAGGAGCAAGGAAGCCAGTCCAAGTCTCAAAATCTCAAAAGTAGGGAAACTGACAGTAAAGCCTTCAATCTATGGCCGAAGGCCTGAGAGCCCCTGCAAACCACTGATGTAAGTCCAGGAGTCCAAAAGCTGAAGAACTTGGAGTCTGATGTTTGAGGGCAGGAAGTGTCCAGCAAGGGAGAAAGATGAAGGGCAGAAGACTCAGCCAGTCTAGTCATTCCACATTCTTCTGCCTGCTGTATTCTAGCCATACTGACAGCTGATTAGATGGTGCCCCTACGCCCCCAAACTGAGCGTGGGTCTGCCTCTCCTAGTCCACTGACTCAAATGTTAATCTCCTTTGGCAGCTCCCTCACAGACACACCCAGGAACAATACTTTATGTCCTTCAATCCAATCAAGTTGACACTCAATATTAACTATCACACCTGGAGACTGGGCCTGTGGGATTCTGATTGACACTGGGTGGGCCTAGAGCTGTAGACTGTGGCCGGTGTCTGGGTCTGTGGGGGTCTTCCCAACACTAAGTTTTACTTGGGCAGACCTAGTGTGAGTGTGTGAGGTAAAGTCCGGTGCTCATTTTTCCTCTCCTTTCCCACATGGAAGGTATGTCTTTCTAAACTTTGCCACGTGGGGTTGGGAGAGTGATAACAAAAATAATGTAAAATTATCCTACTGACTCCCTTTAATGTTTTTTTTTCTTATTTCTGTGCTACAGTCAGTTGCTGTAATTTCTCACTTTGTTTCCTTAGCTCTTGTAAGGGATTTCTGTGCACAGATAATTTTTTAACTTGATATTACTGCAGGGAGAAGAGCACTGGGAAATCCTATTTGTCAATCTTACTATATCCAGCTCCTATTGACTACAACTCATTGGCATCCCTGAAAGAGATGGGGAGAAAGCACGCAACTTGAAAAACATGTTTCAGGATATTGTCCCTGAAAATTCCTCCAGCCTCATTAGGGAGGCCAACATTCTAATTAAGGAAATGCAGAGAACTCCTCGAAGATACTACATAAGAAGATCATCCTCAAGACACATGATCATCAGATTCTCCAAGATCAAAGTAAAAGAAAAAAATGTAAAGGCAGCTACAGAGAAGGGGCTAGTTACCTACAAAGAGAACCCCATCAGGCTAACATTAGACTTTTCAGTAGGAACCCTATAAGCCAGAAAAGATTGGGAACCCATATTCAACATTCTTTTTTTTTTTTTTTTGAGACGGAGTCTCGCTCTGTCGCCCAGGCTGGAGTGCAGTGGAGTGATCTCGGCTCATTGAAAGCTCTGCCTCCTGGGTTCATGCCATTCTCCTGCCTCAGCCTCCCGAGTAGCTGGGACTACAGGTGCCCACCACCATGCCCCGCTATTTTTTTTTTTTTTTTTTTTTTAGTGGAGACGGGGTTTCACCGTGTTAGACAGGACAGTCTTGATCTCCTGACCTTGTGATCTGCACGCCTCAGCCTCCCAAAGTGCTGGGATTACAGGCATGGGCCACCGCGCCCGGCTTCAACATTCTTAATGAATATTTATTTCTTTTAACAGCATCATGTATGAATAAAGTATTTTTATATTGTATTCTTCAACCAGATTTTTAAATAATTAGAATGTTAGTTAGAAATAATCTATACAGGATTTTAATGTATTATTTTCTCCTGAATGCCCTTTATAAGCTCAGTCATGAATATAATTAGAAAATATTAATTAATTGACACATAGCCAATTTTTCCTATTTAGAAATACAGATCTATATGGATTTTACTTACATCAGTCCTAAATATGCTAATCAAATATATAATTTACACCTAAAATTGCATTCAAATATTTTTGGTAATTGTTAATGCCCAGAGCTAAAAATACTCGTATAATTAACTTTATATTTTAATGTAAGTAATGGTTATTTTGTTCCATGCTGTACCTGACTCCAGACCAAACATTCTTTGTTATTATGCACTGAATGAGAGGGATAACGAGGTATTTAAATTTTTTTCCATTATAAATTTTAACATATTCAGCTTTGTTAGAAAGTATTTGCATCCCGTGATTGAGACTTCAAAGCCAGCAATGCCATCGTTTGAGGTTGTGTATATTTTTGTTCATTTGTTTTCGTTTTGTACACTTTTGAAGCCAGTGTTACCTACAGCTTTGAAAGTATTTTGCCTATATAATTCTTGCAGAAAGCCAATATATTAAAAAAATTGTCTCTCGCATGGCCCGCCTTGTCATTTTTGTCCATAATTAGTACCACAAATTACTTCCAGTTACTTAAAGCTAAGCAAAATATCCTGCCTGGTGTGCTTATAAAAATACATTTAAGATTTGTGTGACTTATTTCTATGTTGGAAGATATTAAAGAAGAAAAGGTAGATATTAATGTAAAACAGTAAAATATAGACACTAAAATGCAAACTATATTATGATAAGCAGTCAGTAGTTGGTATGCTACTTATTAGCTTCTTTAACAATGTAATTACTATTAGCTTTTTTTCTCTCTCTCTCTTTTTGTCTTCTTAATTATTTTTTAAACTTTTATTTTAGGTTTGGGGGTAGATGTGAAGGTTTGTTACATAGTTAAACACGTGTCAAGCAGGTTTGTTGTATATATTATTTCATCACCTGGGTATTAAGCCCAGTAAACAACAGTTATCTTTTCTTCTTCCCTCTCTGCTCCCACCCTCCCGTGTCAATAGACCCTAATAATGTTTGTTGTTTCCTTCTTTATGATCATAAGTTCTTATCATTTAGGTCCCACTTATAAGTGAGAACACGTGGTAGTTGATTTTCTGTTCTTGCCTTAGTCTGCTAAGGATAATAGCCTCTAGCTCCAGTTTGACTGTTTCTAAACCAAAGAAGCATGTTGTCTAAAATACATACATACATACATACATACATACATACATACATACATACATACATACTTTCCTCAGCTCTTACCAGAACTGGTCAAATAATACTCACTAATTATCTACAATTGGTTTTATAAATTCAGTACAATTTCTGTTCAGAAATAAAGGTACAAATTCTTCAAACATTTGGATTAGTGCTTACATGGCTTGGAACCTTTTATTAGCTAATAATTCTGGGATCTTAAAATACTTTAATGAGTCTTAAAATATAGACACTATTAATTTTTAGTACTTTGACATTTTGAAGATGATAATGCACATGATTAAGGCTAATTCAATAAGATAATTACATATATAATTTGCTTAATTGAGATGGATGAGTGTTGGAAAAAGTTGGCTAAATATAGTGATCTCAAATTGAAGATTACATCTGTTCAGTTGAAAATGTGACCCTCCTAATATAAAGCACAATTCTGTCATTTTAATCTAGGACTAAATTCTGCAACTATTTCCTTTAGCTGTAATTTTCCATGTTAACAATTTTTTAGCAAATTAACAATGCTTCTTTTTTCTATGTAATTATTATTAGTATTGTTGGCATTCATTATATTTAAACTGGTTATTAATATAAACATTAGAACTGTCAAGTTAAGTATCTTCAATTAATCTATAAATCATACATATATATTTCTTCATTTAATAATTAAGACATAGTTTTTAGAAGACACAGGACTGAGCTACTATGCTATTGTATGTATTTAGTTTAAAGTAAGTATCTTGGTTTGGGGATGGTGGCTCATGCCTGTAATCCCAGCAAATTGATTGATAAGCTGAGGTGGGAGTATTGCTTGAGTTCAGGACTTTCAGACCAACATGGACAGCATAGCAACCCCCTGTCTCAATAATAAATAATTTAAAAACTAACTGAGTGCAGTGGCATGCACCTGTAGTCCTAGCTAGTCAGGAGGCTGAGGTGGGAGGATTGCTTGAAACTAGGATTTCAAGGCTGCTATTAACCATGATTGTGCAACTGCGCTCCAGCCTGGGCAACAGAGCAAGACTCAGTATCTAAAATAAAATGAAATAAAATAAAATAAAATAAAATAAAATAAAATAAAATAAAATAAAATAAATACTGAGAAACTTTTTCTGTTAATTAAAAAATTATACTTTCATTATCTCCTCTATAACTTCTGTTTCTAATTCCTACAGAGTTGTAGACTACATTCAAAATTTGATTATCTGTTCATTGACAGATTGTCTAGCAAGTTTAAACGTGGTAGGTAACCACACAATTTTTCTACGACATACTCCAAATCTCACTATTAACTGTAAGAGAAATTTATCACATTTTCATTGTATAAATCAATATTGAATTATTATTATTAGCTTCACTTCTAGATACAGCGGGATAATTGTGCTGGGTTTACCTTATTGTTGTAAACAATGATAGCACTGAACAGATATGAAAGATGACATTTTTCAGGCTTTCTACAATAGTTAGCACAGGTCTTAGATTTTTGAGAGAACGGAAACATGTCTGAGGTTTCATCCTACAGCATTTTCTGGCTGCAGAACAAGGGTGTGAAGGCCAAGTGGAAAACAGCTCTCTTGAGAAGCTGGGGAAATAGAAATAGAAGTTTGAGGGTGCTGAACTTTGGAATTTGTCAAGCATTATACCAAAAAGGAGAGAGCTACACCCAGAGAGGTCTCCAAAACGTCTGTTGTTTCTTCTAGAGACCTCATTGAAAGCTTGGCTATGTGTTATGAGGCTTAAAGAAAAAGAAAAAGAGTTACCGCAGGACCAACTGCTAAATAAATATACTAGAGATTTCATGGTGTTGGAAATTCTAGACTTCCAAGCCATATGGAGTAGAGATATTCTCTTCGACATATTCTATATTCTAATGAGAAAGCAAGTCTGTGGTTTAGAAGCATAGATTCACAGAGCTTTTACATAAAAGGCCAGCTAGCAATTATTTTAGGTTTTCATGGCCATATGATCTCCATACCAACTACTCAGCTTTTCAATCTTACTGGCAAAGATGCTACAGACAATTCATAAGCAAATAGGCATTGGTATGTTGAAAAATATATTTTAAAGCAAAACTAAACATATAAAAATCAGATTATTTGGCCTGCAGACTTTAGTTTGCCTACTCTTGTTCTAGAGTATTTGCCAAATTCTAGGAATGAGCACAAAATTAAAATAGACTTGCCCTAGCAAAACATAAAATCAAGCATGACATTACTAGTAGTGACCTCCACTATTTTAACTGTATCTCAAAGCAAAATGCAATGCTTTTTAAAGGAAAGTAATGTAATACCAGTTCTCTACAATGTATAGTCCACAACAGTTGGCATAAAATTAACCAGAAACATTATACATGCAAAGAATCAGGGAATATAACTCATAATTTTTTAAAAAAAGCATGCAAATAGACCCTGTGGTCTCAGATGCTGTATTTCAAAAATAAAACTGACAAATAAATATGTATCAGGCAATTTAAAACAAAGGATGCATATCATCAATAAAAATATGTAAAAACAAAAGGAAAAGGACACAAAAATAAAATAGAAATTTTTGACTGAAAACTATAATATCTGAAATTCTAAAGGACATATATAAATTTCAGAAAATGTTCTCTGACCACAGTGGAATTGAATTTGAAATCATTATTAAATAAGATGGGAATTATTGGTAAATAAAAATCAATGATCTCACTAAACATTTGGAATTTATTACTTTTGTTTTAACTTTTAGGTTGAGGGGTATATGTGCAGCTTTGTTACACAGGTAAACATGTGTCTAGGGGTTTGTTGTACAGATTACTTCATCAAAGAGTTATACACCATGGAATATTATGCAGCCATAAAAAAGGACAAGATCATGTCCTTTGCAGGGACATGGATGGAGATGGAGGCCATTATCCTTAGCAAACTAATGCAGGAGCAGAAAACCAAATTATGCATGTTCTCACTTGTAAGTGGGAGCTAAATGGTTAGAACACATGGACACATAGATGGGAACAACACACACTGGAGCTCTCAGAGGTTGGAAGGTGAGAGGAGGGAGAGGATCAGGAAAAATAGATAATGAAAATATTTGGAACGTAATTAGCCCATTTCTAAATAATTTTTGGGTGACAGAAATGGTTTTTAGATATTTAAAAATTAGATATATTTTGGACTTGATAATATGTAATATATCAAAATGTATGTGATACAGGTAAAACCATGCTTAGTGTAATAATTTATAGTATATTTAAATGCTGTTAGAAAAGAAATTTAAAATTAATAATTGGAAGTTCTACCTAAAAAAACTAGAAAATAAAAGCTAATTAAGTAAAAGGAAAAAAGTATAGAAATATTAAAATAATAAAAGCTAATTAAGTAAAAAGAAGAAAATAATATAGAAATTACTTAAATGAGTAGAAATTATTTGAATAGGACATAAATTATTCAAATAAAAATAAAAACTAGAGAAAACTACTAGGCTCTAATTTGGTTCTTCAAAAATATTGTTAGACTTAAAATTGATCATGTATACAATAACTGACCTTAACCACAGTTGGGCCCAGATTTAGAGCAATACCTTTTATGCCAATGATTATAAGCAAAACAACTTTGACCTTAACATTTTATCTATTCAGTTGTTTAAGTTGTACTACTACTTACTATCATAAAACAAGGACTTTGTGGATTAAATGCTTCCTGTTATTTATTGAGTACTTTGTATTAGGAAGTTTACACTTACTATCTAATATAGAAGTTCTTATAGATACACATAAATATACCCATTTTTAAGATTAGAAAACTGAGAATCAGACAGGTTAAATGTCTTGCTATTAAGGGTCAGAATTAGAACTGAACTCTACTCTGATGCTCTCTGTGCTACAATTCTTCTCTAAAGTTCTCTATATGAAAGGGCAACCATGATATTTCCTAGTTAACTTGACTTCCAGTCCATGTACTGGGCCTGAAAAAACAGGTTAAGTAGGTCACTCAGTGTGTCTTAATTTAAGCAGTAATAACATTTTTTTTTTTCCAAATGGAAACCCAGTTTAACCCAAACACAGGGGTTTTTCAGTAAATAGCATAAACAGCAGTAATGATTTTACTTGCTTTTTTTTTTTTTTTCTCTCAGACAGAGTCTCACTCTGGCGCCCAGGCTGGAGTGCAGTAGTACAATCTCAGCTTATTGCAACCTCCTCCTCCTGGGGTTCAAGCAATTCTCCTACCTCAGCCTCCTAAGTAGCTGGGATTACAGGCACATAGCAGTATGCCCGGCTAATTTTTGTATTTTTAGTAGAGACAGGTTTTCACCATGTTGGCCAGGTTGGTATTGAACTCCTGACCTCAAGTGATCTGCCCACTTCAGCCTCCCTAAGTCCTGGGATTACAGGCGTGAGCCACAGTGCCCAGCCATTTTGCTTGTTGTATCTGCTCATTTCTGACCTACATTCTGTCTATGATACCCCAGTCTTTCCTAACTTGCTTTAAACCAGCAGATGACAAACTATAGCCTATGGGTCAAATGTGGTCACGTGCTTGTGTTTGTAAATAAATATGCATTTGCATATGTTTTTACACCTCTGCTTTCCTACTACAATAGCAAAGTTGAATAGTTGTGACAAAACTCATATGGCTCACAAAACCTACAACATTTACTGTATGACCCTATGCCAAAAAACTTTGCTGCTTTCTTTAAATCAATGTATCCCAGTATCTTAAATTGAGGATTACAGCAAACTTTCTCAAGTAAGTAGACAATTCTTTGTCTTGAGGCAGCAGGTATAGCAAAGAAGGTTCTCAGAACCACTGTGTTGGTTGTAATTTTCCTCATTAGTTTTTGTTGTTGTTCCCTCAGATGTGTGCATCCCCAAGTAAACAAAGTTCAAAGGGCCAGCAGAATCATTACAGATGCTATGTAACATCCATATGCATAAATGTAATAGGCCTGAAACTATGATAACTAATTATGATGCTCACTTGCTCACTGATTTACTCCAAGTTCTCCCTAAACCCTATCCTGTAATAGAACGAAGAGTACCTCTATTTCACTGCAGTGACTTGGGGGAAGGACTATGGCTTGTTGGGAAGAGATCCCTTCCACACATACACTTGTATGTGCCACACTGTAAAGTTAGGTAATGTTCTGCATTCATTTAACAAAGTGTACATAAATCTGGCTGGAGCGAGTGGCCACACTGTGCAGAAATAGGTGAAGCCAATTACACCACACTCTCCTTAGAAGCCACCAAGTCCAGAACAGGAGCTCACAGCTACCACTGACACTTTCCTTGCAAGATGGGGCCTAGAGAGTTCTGAGAAGCATCATTTTATGGTTCATTACATTCTTTGATTTTTAGGGCCTAAATAATTATTCATAAAAGATACAGTCAAACAATCTATAAGCCTAATTCTTCATTAAAAAAATGTTTTTAGACATAGTAACCTCCTGATTCCTGGAGAAATCTAGCTCACTGTCTGAGGCCATGTGTTTACCAAGGTAAGACAGCAGAGTCAGCACCCAGGATTCGTAGTTAGCTTTCTCCTCTCACCACAACATGCAGTAGTTCTGAATGTGGTTTCTCTTATCAACATAAACAATTTGACCAGTAATTGCATGTCAGGAAACACCCACATGCACCCACCCCACCATAGAGCAAAATATAGCAGACACACAGTCATATGTTGCTTAACAACCAGGATCCATTCTGAGAAATGCACTGTAAGGTGATTTCATCACTGAGCATACATCATAGAGTGTACTTACAAATCTAGATGGTAAAGCCTGCTACACACCTAGGCTATATGGTATAGCCTAATTCTCCTAGGCTGTAAACCAGTGCAACATGTTACTGTAATGAATAGAGTAGATAATTATAACATAATTGTAAGTATTTATGTATCTAAACATAGAAAAGTATAGTAAAAATACAATATAATAATGTTACGGGATCACTGCTCAATATGTGGTCCATTGTTGACGAAAATATCATTAGGTAGTGAATGGCTATGTGTGTGTCTATATACATATATGCACATGCTTATATATATACACGCACTACTATACATACATACACATATATGCATATATATGTTTATCTACAGACAATGTAAATATATGTATGCATATAAACATTTATGCATATAGGTATAGTAAAAGATCAGTATATCCAGTTGTGCAAATTTGATGTTTCTTGTTATTTCTAGATTATGATAAACAGACTATTTTTTAGGTGACCTAGGGTAATGTCTTTAAATCCTTCCTCTACACATAATGTTCAGTACAGATGTATTAGTGTGTTTTCATGCTGCCAATAAACACATACCTGAGACTGGGCAATATACAAAAGAAGGTGGTTTAACAGACTCACTGTTCCACATGGCTGGGGAAGTCTCACAATCATGGTAGGAGGTGAAAGGCACATCTCACGTGGCAGCAGACAAGAGAAGAGAGCTTGTGCAGGGAAACTACCCTTTTTGAAACAATCAGATCTTGTGAGACTTATTCACTATCATGAGAATAGCATGAGAAAGACCCGCCCCCATGATTCAATTACTTCTGACCAGGTCTCTCCCACAACACGTGGGAATTGTGGGAGCTACAATTTGAGATGAGATTTGAGTAGGACCACAGCCAAACCATATCAACAGAATTACTTGCTAATACAGTATGACTTCAGCTTTACCTTTTTATAATCTTGACTAAAATTATTAATTTGACAAGATATTTACAAATGCCACAGGGAATTTTTGAAGGACATTATATAGACACATATTTAGTGTCTTCTGATGCTTCACTTTTCACAAACATGTAATCTTTTTGCAGACATAGCTAAAGTGTAATTTTACAATTATTTGCTAGAATTATGTAGCCATTGAAGTAGTGTGTCTTGTTAAATATCTTATGTTTTAAAAAAGTGAAAGCAAGTTTATTAAGAAAGCAAAGTAATAAAAGAATGCTCCATAGGCAGAGCAGTCACTAGATATCTTGATACGTATTATCACATTTTTCATCATAGGATACAATTTAGTATTTCAGGAAAAAGATGTTGGAAATTTTTTTTATTATACTTTAAGTTTTAGGGTACATGTGCACAAAGTGCAGGTTTGTTACATATGTATACATGTGCCATGTTGGTGTGCTGCATCCATTAACTCATCATTTAACATTAGGTATATCTCCTAATGCTATCCCTCCCCCCTCCCCCCACCCCACAACAGGCCCCAGTGTGTGATGTTCCCCTTCCTGTGTCCATGTGTTCTCATTGTTCAATTCCCACCTATGAGTGAGAACATGCAGTGTTTGGTTTTTTGTCCTTGAGATAGTTTACTGAGAATGATGGTTTCCAGCTTCATCCATGTCCCTACAAAGGACATGAACTCATCATTTTTTATGGCTGCATAGTATTCCATGGTGTATATGTGCCACATTTTCTTAATGCAGTCTATCATTGTTGGACATTTGGGTTGGTTCCAAGTCTTTGCTATTGTGAATAGTGCCACAATAAACATACATGTGCATGTGTCTTTATAGCAGCATGTTTTATAATCCTTTGGGTATATACCCAGCAATGGGATGGCTGGGTCAAATGGCATTTCTAGTTCTAGATCCCTGAGGAATCGCCACACTGTCTTCCACAATGGTTGAACTAGTTTACAGTCCCACCAACAGTGTAAAAGTGTTGCTATTTCTCCACATCCTCTCCAGCACCTGTTGTTTCCTGACTTTTTAATGATCGCCATTCTAACTGGTGTGAGATGGTATCTCATTGCGGTTTTAATTTGCATTTCTCTGATGGCCAGTGATGATGAGCATTTTTTCATGTGTCTGTTGGCTGCATAAATGTCTTCTTTTGCGAAGTGTCTTTTCATGTCCTTCACCCACTTTTTGATGGGGTTGTTTGTTTTTTTCCTGTAAATTTGTTTGAGTTCATTGTAGATTCTGGATATTAGCCCTTTGTCAGATGAGTAGATTGCAAAAATTTTCTCCCATTCTGTAGGTTGCCTGTTCACTCTGATGGTAGTTTCTTTTGCTGTGCAGAAGCTCTTTAGTTTAATTAGATCCCATTTGTCAATTTTGTCTTGTGTTGCCGTTGCTTTTGGTGCTTTAGACATGAAGTCCTTGCCCATGCCTATGTCCTGAATGGTATTGCCTAGGTTTTCTTCTAGGGTTTTTATGGTTTTAGTTATAACATTTAAGTCTTTAATCCATCTTGAATTAATTTTTGTATAAGGTGTAAGGAAGGGATCCAGTTTTAGTTTTCTACATATGGTTAGCCAGTTTTCCCAGCACCATTTATTAAATAGGGAATCCTTTCCCCATTTCTTGTTTTTGTCAGGTTTGTCAAAGATCAGGTAGTTGTAGATGTGTGGTATTATTTCTGAGGGTTCTGTTCTGTTGCATTGATCTATATCTCTGTTTTGGTACCAGTACCGTGCTGTTTTGGTTACTATAGCCTTTTACTGTTGGAGGATGAAATAAGGTAGTGAAGTTGTTAATTATCAAGCTTCTACTCTGGACCTAGTACCATTTTCAGTACCATAAATGTAAAACCAACTTCCTAATTCCTCAGTAAATATATTACAGTTGAAAATAAAAATTTCATGTGAAATAAGTAGGATAAGTAGAAGTTAATGTATACTAAAAAGAAAATGTCAAGGAATGTTTTTAAAGGATTAGTACTTTAGTAAGAAATAAGAATTTACATGAAATGAATCTACTTGAATCTGATTGTTTCAAGCTGTAAATGAGAATATATTTCTAATGATTTTAGCTATAGTTTCTTTAATGTCTCCTGATATACAAGCAATTAAACCACAAAAAAGTAAATCTCTATGGCCTTATTCTTACAATAATATTCCTATTGTTTGCTATCATTTTGACAATAAAAAGATATTTAATTGTGTAATTGGAAATACGACTTAAAACACTAGTATTCTTGGGAGAGGAAACACAGTTACATGTTTAAGCTAGAGCAAAAATGACTGGAAATTGATTATTTCTTGAGGCCAGATTTTGATGCCTGGAAGGCTCTAGTTGGAAGCAGTGGGGATAGAAGATGAGGCGGGGAACTAAAAGCTGAATTACTTTCTTTTCATTATATTGGTTATGTCCAGCCTAAAAAAAGTCATAACTTGGCATGCAGTTTTTCTCTCACAGCATCTTGGAGTTCACTGGAGGATGATAGTAAATATTAAGCAATAGGCACATATGTGTGGAGAAAAATGATAACTCTGGGCTCGTTGTCCTTGCCAAGTATACCAGCATTGCCAAGTTCCCAAGGACTAATTTCCACTTGTAGGAATTACACCTGGTAGCTAAATGTTACCTAGGTGGCTGTTGCATATTTAGACCAAGTTTCAGCAAAATTAATTATTAGCATACAGAAAGAAGAGTGGTTACAAAGTATTTCTTTGTGAGCTGAGTAGCTCTGCATGGGAAACATATCTTAGAAGATGATATTAAAATACATAGTAAAACTCACAATGAATTTTGAGAGGGGAAGAAAAAAATACCTGTTACAGCAAATTCTTGACACGTGAATTTTCCATCATTTTTTCCCCAGTACTTTCTGTGTTTTCAGTAGAACATGGTATTTCTCTTGTGATGGACTAAATTAGTGGAATTCAAGGAAATAGTAAAATAAAGGCATTTTATATTGAACCATCAGTGCATACATAATGTGTCAGCAATTAGAATACCCAAACAAGGTTCTAGTCTTAAAAGTTCATGTGTTCTACTGATGAATCAGGAAAATTCATTAACAGTGAAAATACAGTGAAACTCTAGGTAGACACTTCCGCTAACTCTGCTTACATGTTTGAGGATTTTTTTCTTTCTTTTGTCCAATGGGGAAATGTCTAATGATTTATTGTGCCACTGCAACTGAAATTATTTTGTTTTCTCCTTAGAAAAAAAATATCATTGGTTACCTCCTCAGTTCAGCGAAAAACGTATTTTACTCCCCTCTTCTAGTCCGCATAAACCTAATACCTTTAAAGTTTCCTTATAAATTTTCCAATATTTAAAATGTTTCCTTCTTTTTTCTCTATTTTTCTGAATCCTCTTTATTCTTCTGCTTGATCCTTTTTAAAAAGGACATGAAATGAATCATAAAATGGTATTTATGAGGCAATCAATCATGGCCAGAAATTTGCAAAAACATGTAACTACAGGTGTGCTCCTTCTAGGTTAGCAGCTGCAGAATTTATAATCATGTGGCAACATTTGGTTTATCTGTTGCAAAATTAATACATATGAAGAAAGGAAATGTGTTTCCATATGTAGTGAATCTTTTGATGTAAATGCCAATATAATCAAAGGAAGAGACAGAGCAACCTAGAGAACTATCCCAGGAAGTGTATTTTTAGCATTAACTTCTCCCTATTTTTTACTTACCAGGTTGGACCTGTGTCATTGGGACATATTTTAGTTCTGACACCATGTATTTCCTGAGTTATGAGCTTATGTACTATGATTATCAAAGTTATTTCTTTCCCTTATTGAAAAATGATAAGCAATATTAAATTATTGTATGGCTTCTTGGCACAGATTTTCATTCAACTTAAACAATGGGAGACCATTTTTATCCCCAAAGTCCAATTATCGCTCGATAAATTTAATATATTTTTTTCTTACTACAAATTTCAACATTTTGTAGTATAGAAGTAAAAGTGGGCTTGAGAAATGTATTCAGAAACAATATTCCATAAACATAATTGTTTAAAATTCTGTGATAAAAACATAATTTAGGTCTTTCTTTTGGTCATAAGTTATAGAGATTTGATCGTAAACATACACATATATGTTCTTGTATGTATTATATGTGTACATGTGTGTGTGAATGTGTGATGCATCACCAATTTTTCAAGGAATGTTTTAAATTGATTTATTTGTTCTTTTTCATTCCTTCTATTTTTCCTTCAACCCATGTCTTGTATCCCTCCACTCCATAGGTACCAATTTTAATGCATGTGTTTGTTTATTTTTGTTTATATGTGTTCTTAGAATGTATGTTCTCTCAGTCTGTGTACACCATATATTAATTTTCATAATTTTATGCTATAATTATGACTATATTTCTTATTCTTTGTTTTTGTTTGTACTCAGCACTGTATTTTCAAGTGACATCCATGTTCCTATGTCTATTGCTTATCCTTTCCTTTATCTGCTGTTAGCACTCCATGGTAATTTGCATCAATGACGTTTAATATCTAGTAGAAACTAAAATCCCAGGTTGTCTCCAAACCTCCTCTTCCCCAGTATTTCACTTGGTTTCTTTGAAATATACCTTTGAGCAGAATTTCTGATACTTCAGGACTAAGTTTATGAGTTTTGACTCTGTAAATCCAGATTGCTCTCCAAAATGTTTGCACACATAGAAATTTCTATCAGCAGTGCACAAAGATTTCCAAATCCTCATACCTGGACAACAGTTCATAGCATACCGCTACCTAATAATTCACATTCTGATAGATGTAAAGACATTTATTTTGTTGTTTTGAATTCAGTTTCTCTGACTGCTAGTGGGTTTGAATTTCTCATCCTATGATTGTTAGCCTTTGAGTTTTCCCTTCTTTAAGTTGCTTCTGTGTCTTGTGCTCAGCTGTAGTAGCTGTCTTATAGTTTTTTAAGAGATCCAAATATGTTTTATAATTTCAATGTTGAAAAGGTCCTCTATCATTGCACTATCTTTCTGCTATTTTTTCTATGTTTCCTTTATGGAATAAAATTCTTGAAGTTTGAAGTAATCAAATCCAACATTTGATTTACCTTATGAAGTGTCTCTATATTATGAAGATAATCGGTTATATCTTTTCTCTGTTAACTTATAGTTTTACATTTTATATACAGTTTTTAAAATTTATTTATACTTTTTTTGATATATGGAGCCTTGCTGTGTTGCCCAGGCTGAAATGCAGTGGTACGATCTTGGCTCACTGCAACCTCCACCTGCCAGGTTCCAGTGATTCTCCTGTCTCAGTCTCTAGGGTGGCAGGGATTACAGGCACGTTCCATCATGTCTGGCTAAGTCTTGTATTTACAATAGAGAGGGGGTTTTACCCTGTTGGCCAGGCTGGCGTCAGGCTCCTGACCTCAAGTGATCTGCCCGCCTTGGCCTCCCAAAGTGCTTGGGATTACAGGTGTGCGCCACTGCGCCCGGCCTATATGCAGGTCTTAATACACAGCAATATCTCTGTGCTCTGCATTTAGAACAACTTTTGTGTCTTGCACCAATACCACACCCTTACAATTTTGGTTTTATAGAATGATAATCTAATATATTTAAATTGATTTTATTCACCCCCACTGTGCTTTATGTGATCATTATTTTTTATAAATCAAATTGTTATTTTTATTATATTAATTTTAATATTTGTATGAGATCAAAAGAACTTTACTGTTGTCAGTTTAGCATTTTTCTCTTATAAAAATAGATTTTGCAAAGGCCTTTGTAGGTAGATGGTAAAGCGTCTCAGTTGAAATCTCATTATTCTTTCATTAACTGTTGTTAATTTAAAAAGAAAAAGCAAACCAGTTTTTCACTTTAAACTACCCATTAGTAATTTTGAAGCCAATTTGTTTGCATCTATTACAATATCTCAAAATCTCTTTAAAAATCTACCTATACTTGTATCTAAATTACAGCTATACTTGTATCTATTTACCTCCTAACAAAATCTTCTTAAATAAATTTAATTGTTTTTTTCTAAATGATATTGGATGACTATATAAATTTTTTAGTTTTCAAAGTTATAAACTAGATTCAGTATAAAAACAACAGCAAACTAAATCTTGGAACTAAAGTAATATTTTTTCTCAAATATTATGTATTAATTGAATAATAGAATTATTATTACAATGACTGGCTATGATACACTAAGTATAAATTTAATTTTAAATTGTATTATTTAAAAAGTTACTGTTTGTGTAATATTAGATTAGGATATAGATAGGCTATATTGGTTTCTAAGTTATTAAATTCTCTTGGATAATTTTATGCATAATTTTTTCTCAGATTTTTATTTTCTGAAAGTTTCTGCTAACTGAAATAGCCAAAGAAATGAAGAATAATTAACAATAAAATGGAGTGCATTAATTGCAAAGGTAAGGAATGTGGTATCCAAGAAAGCAGGAGATGAAATTATATGAAAGATGTAAAGCCTTTTCAAGTAAGTTTTGTTGCGGATTCATTCTTTCTCTCTCCTCATCATTGTCATCTATCCCATAATTCATTCGATAGGTGAGGACTGCTTGTTTAGTTACATATTAATGTTCTATTACTGCTATAAAACATTACCACTAATTTACTGGCATAAAACAACACAAATTTATTTTTTTACATTTCTGAAGTCAGAAGTTTGAAATCAGTTTTGCTGGAATAAAATCAAGTTTTCCACAAGCTGATGCTTCTGGAGTCTAAAGCAAGGAATCTGTATCCTTGAGTTTTTCAGCCTCTAGAGAACAGTAGCATTCCTTAGCTCATTACTCCTTCCTCCATCTCTGGAAAAAGCAGTGCAACATCTTCTATCTTCTCTTGTTCTGGTCCCTGCTTCCACTCTTAAATTCTCTCCTTCTGACTTTAATACTTCTCTTATAAATGCCCTTGTGATTATCTTTAACCTCAAAATACAATCCAGGATAATCTTCCCATCTCAAGACCCTTTCCATAATCACACCTGCAAAGTCATTTTTATTTTTTTACCATGTAAGGTAAAATATTTACAGGTTCCAAGGATCGAGGTATGGATATTTTGGGGTGCCATTATTAAGCTTACCACAGGTCACATAATGTGAACATTGTTGGTGATCTAGCAAAAAACTAGGATGGGACTTGATGAGACAAAGTGTCCGGTCTGAAGGCAGATTAAGGAAGAAGGAGAGGATAAGAATTGTAACCAATGGATATAGAAAACACTGTTTAGGAAGTTTGCTGAAAACCACGGGAGGAATAATTGAGTACTCACTGACAGAAGTGCCATTAATAACTTGTTTTACTCATTTAATATAAAATGTGAAAAAAATGACATATTTTGTTGATGGGCATAGGGTAATAGTAAAAATACTGATGTAAAAGGAAGAGAAAATAGTTTCTGGAAAGATTTCCTTGATTAAGCAAATGGGGATTAAAGCATGAATAAGAACATGAAAAGTATATTTATGGAAACAGGAAGGTAGAATGTAAGAGATAGATGACAGCTCATGGATAGATATGAGGTTGACAATTGAAAAGAGTCTTTTTTGCCCAATTCTCTCAGTGAAATAGGACCTGAGTGTTGTTGAATTATTATAGTTGCACGTGAAATGTTTAAGACAGCAGTTCCCAAATTTTTGGCACTAGGGACTGATTTCATGGAAGACAATTTTTCCATTGACAGGGTCAGTGGGATGGGTTGGGGATGAAACTGTTTCAACTCAGATCATCAAGCATTAGATTCTCATAAGGAGCTGCACAACCTAGATCCCTCCTGTATGCAGCTCATAGTAGGATTTATGCTCCTATGAGAAGCTAATGCCCTTGCTGAACTGACAGGAGGCGGAGTTCAGGCAGTAATGTGAAATCTATTGATGCAATTTTGACTTCTGAAGAGGCTGTACATTACTCATGTGTGCATACTCCCTTTATCACCTGTGGTGGGATGTACTAATTAATGCTACTATATTAAATGATCTGGGAATCTAGTATCTTACGTTTTGGGTCTGTATTTCTAATGTGTAAGTTATAAGAGAAATGTATGAAATAATGGAGTTAAAATGGTAGGAGCAAAAGCATCATGGCATAGTTGAAGTTATGTGGATTCTTGTTTCTGTCTTTGGAAAATCATCTAGTATAACAAAGCATCTATTTTGTCATTTTAAAAATAAGAATAATATCTACCACATTGAATTTCTGTGAGGGTTTATTGTGATAATCTGCTAACAGAACTATTACACAACTGTATCAGTCCGTTTTCACACTGCTGATAAAGACATACAGGATACTGGGTAATTTATAAAGAAAAAGAGGTTTAATGGACTCACAGTTCCACGTGGCTGGGGAGGCCTCACAGTCATGGCAGTAGGCAAAAGTCACTCTTACATGGTGGCAGGCAGGAAATAATTGGTGCAGGGAAACTCCCCGTTATGAAACCATCATATGTCATGAGATGTTCACTATCACAAGAACAGAACAAGAAAGACCTGCCCCCATGATTCAATCACCTCCCACCTGGCCCCTCTCACAGCAGCTGGGAATTGTGGGAACTACAATTCAAGATGAGATTGGGTGGAGACACAGCCAAATCATATCAACAACCATGCACAAAAATAAATATAAATAAAAACTATACTCATTTAATATCTGGTCCTTGTTACTATTGTAGTAAATAAGTTTATTTTTTTATTACTCCTCTGGTGGTGGAAAATAATAGGTTGGGAATACATGCTGCACTAATTTCATATGTATTTTGAGATCAAATATATATAGTTATATAGAGATTATATAAATTTATGTATAATATACACATATGCACGTGTACGTGCATGCACACATACACACACACACACACGTTCTCTTTCCTAGACTAAGGATTGCAGTTATATAACTTCATGTAGATCTTCAATCAAATTTGAATTTGAAATATTTTGCCCACATACATTGGGAAGTTGCTTTGGACATCTTAAAACCTTTACTGATGATCTAATCATCTGATCAATCCCAGCTATGATAGTAGTTTTGGTTTTATTTTGCAGCCCAACTTCAAATCACTAATTAACATAATTAATATGTGCATTTAAAAATATTGAATTAAAATTTTAAAAAAATCTCTTTTTGTGTAAACAAAAGAAAACTGGTATCGGGATAATTGTATAATTACTTGTATGATAAAAGATATAATAAATATCATACAAATAATATATCTAATCAGTATAAAGTATTTATTTACAGTAAGTGTAAAAATATCAGCAGAATATTACCAGTTGTGATGGTAGCAATAAAATATGATAAACCACATGACTTTTGCCTTCTTTCTTATGAATAACTTATAAAGAAATCTAACTTATACTTGTTAGAAGTGCATGAAAGTAAATGTCTGTATATGTCTGTACATATATACATATATATTGAAACCATATATGCACATGGATAAGAAAAGAATAGCATCTTTGGAATAAAAAAGATCCATAGCTATAAACATTTATGAAATGGGCTGCACATTAGACACTCAAAGGGAAACTCATGAACCATTATCTTTGAGATTCTAGTACATAGTCAGTTTCATGAAACTTTGTAGCCAGTTACTGAAATACTTTTGTTATAATTTAATCATATTCACTTTATAAAAATGCAAAGGGAGTTTGTGGGACTCTACTGAATAATAGTTTGTTTCAATTGAAATCTAAACTTATTTATGTGCAAAATAACAAATAGTTCCTCCCTAAAAATACACAGTGTATATAGCCTCCATAGCACAGCATGAGCCAAATAGATTTATATTTACAGGTTTATCCCAGAATATTTCAAATGAAGGGGAAACTTCAGGGCAGCATGAACACTATGTGAATCAGGTATACATGGTACTCCATGTAGTAAAAATTAAAAAAAGCTAGTGAACAATAATATTAATAAGATTTATCAAATTATTCATTTTTAACACAGAGCAGCTAAATGTCATTGTTTTGGGAATACATTTTTATCAAGCAATTACATATTTTTGAATTTTTTAACATTTTATAAACATTTTGACCAAAGACACTTAGGTTCTATCAACAAAGAAATATTCAGATTGTTTTTCCCCTAACAAACATGAAAACATGTGAGTGAATAAACTATTACTATTTTATGTCTACTACTTCTTCGATGTTTTAATTAAAATCAATGGTCCATTTTCTACTAAGATGAAAAATAGAACTGAATCATCATGGAATTTAATTAAATATTTACAAAAGCTTATCTATGTGTATAATTTTGTTTTATAAGAAAATATTCTAGACAAATATTTTTACTTAAATCATCTTCAATTAAATGGTGTTGTTATAAAGAAGTAATTTACTTAAAAATAGTTTACTGCTGTTGTTTCTAAGGGGATATAGAAATTATTCCTTCTGGAAAGTTTGGGTTTATTTTGAGAGCAATATGAAGACACACCATTAAAAAAATCATAGAGAAGCATAGACTGAATTTTCAAAAGCATGACAAAGTGTGTAGGCTAGGTGAGAAATGGGAAGCATAAATCACAATTACAAAACAATAGACTAAACAGATAGAAGTCTTAGGGGCTGATGGAACACGAGGTAGAAAGGGAAGTTTTTGGTTTTGTTTGATTTTATGCCAAGGAAAAAATTCAGAAGGAGTTTTTTTTCATGTAAAAATCCCATGAGAGAATACAACCAAAAGTACCTAATACTGTGTTCAATTGGGTTAGTGGCTAGGAAACCAAATCAGGAAGTTATTTGAAGCTGCATAGCACAGCCAGACTCAGAGCATATGCTCCAAAGGAAGGCTGCTGCTTGCATAGGCAGGGTCTGCCTGGGATACATCGATCTATGCCCCAATTAGTAAAATGGAAATAATAATGTTAATTGATCATTGGGTTCTTTGAGGATTAAATAAGCTAACGCTATTAAACACTTAGAACAGTACATGGCAGATTGAAAACTCTCCACAAACGTTACCTTTTCAATCCACAGCACATTGCTTTCTTGACGAATCTGCTGTCAAGCAGAGAAATCTTGGGGTGTAGTAGGGGTGTTACTGAGTGCAAAGTCTACACACACAAAGTTCTAGGGATATAGAGCTCAAATTAAAGAAACCATAAAAAATGGCTGTGCCAAGGGTGATAGATGGGCATGTGGCATTTGTAGAGCATATTGGCATACATTTCTTCAGGAATACTCTTGGTAAAAACTTGTTATTTCAAAGCAAAATTTTAACCATTGCAAATAGATATTGAGAGGACCCCAAATGAAGGAATAAGTACTCTGATCCGAATCAGTAACAAGTAGGCAGAAATGATTTGACAAACATGGGTACATAATAAAATATCAGGAGAAATTTGAGAGTGAAAGGACGAGAGCAAAAAATAGAACAGATAGACACCTGCATATACACAGGTATAAATCACATTTGTGTATATGTGTGTGTACATACACATACACATATACTACAATATATTTCCATATAAATAGCTCATAACCTGTTACTGTATTTTTTAAAGTAGTAATTTAGTTAATCACGTAGGTGGTTCTTAACCCATAGAAGTGATATGATATTTTTGACTAAACTTTCTGCTGCCAGCATACAATAAATAACATAGGCAAATCTAATTAATTAATGCCGTTTATGGACTAAAGCTTTGTTTGTCTGTTTTGGTTTAGAAACAAGGTCTCACTCTGTTACTTAGGCTGGAGTACAGTGGTGTGGTCATAGCTCACTGCATCCTGGAGCTCCTGGGTTCAAGGGATTCTTCCACCTCAGCCTCCCAAGTAACTAGGGTTACAGGTGCTCACCAACATGCCTAGCTAATATTCTTAATTTTTAGTTTGTTTGTTTTGGTAAAGATGAGGTGTTGCTGTATTGCTCAGGCTGGTCTCTAACTCGGCTCAAGTGACCCTCCTACCATGGCCTCCCAGACTGTTGAGATTACAGGTGTGAGTCACTGCACTCAGACTATTTTTATGAAATAAAGTTTAAAGGGTAATATATATCCTACACATTAATACATACCAACAATCAGGTTATTGTAGAAAATAAATCATAAGTACAATAATCAGGAAATTATCTAATAAATCATATTTTAATACAATTGTATTACAAGTATAAATATTTATAGGAAGCATAGAAAAAACCTATTACTAATAAACTACATTGGTCACACTGATAAATAGGAAATGTTCATTAATGTTGTCTTCTGTGGTAAGTATCTGCTAAATTTCAATTATTTGTGTGATAGATGAATTAATATTAGAGTTTGGGGCAAAAATACTAAAATTCCCAGATTTTGACAATCTGAGATTATTACTTTTCAAATATATTAAGAACAGAAACATATCAAGGACATTTTTCAGAAGGTCAGACTCTAGCCTTAGCTTTTCAGAATATATTAATTGTAAAACATCACTAATGGATTCCCTGGTTGACTGAGCAACTGCTGGATATACTATTGGACAGATGTCTTAGTCCCTGAGAGTTGTATCTGTATCATGTAAACTTACAATGAGTAACATCCATTTTCTGAACTTCTATACCCATAGGTAATTAAATGCCTTCCTTGCTCCCAGTCTGTTTCCTAATCTAAGAGGCAAACTACCTGGCCAAACATGCAATAGCACCTAAACCGTCTTCTACCTTATCATTATTCAAAAGACCCCCATGGTTTTTGCACAAAACACTGCATCCTATTTCTTTCCTTTACATCTGCTCACCATTCAGTTCCCTGAGTCTTAGTCATTGTACATGTTTCACCTTAGGATGTATAAATTAGACCTTTTTAGAGTACAGTAATATAAAGGCATCAAAACAAATGAAGGCTAAGAGGTAAAAAGTGTGTGTGTGTGTGTGTGTGTGTGTGTTTTGGTATTTTGGAGATAATGTTGGGTTTCTTACAGTGAGTCTGGGGTTCTAAAATATCCAGTGTATGAGAACGTAAGAAATTGGGAGAACATATAAAAAAACATAAACTCACAGAATTCTCCTATTTTTTCCTTCTGTACTTATTATTATATATTTTATACAGTATCTTTACAACAGCAATCCCTTCACATGTCTAATAGGAGTTCGTGTACTTAAGGTCGGCTTGCCCTTTCTCTTCACAAAAGAACTCTTCTAAGAGAGAGGAAAAATGCCTTCTCCCAGTCATCTTCTGACCTTCTAAAGGCTTCGTCTTGGACTAACATAACTGAACAGGCCTTCCAAGATTTCTCTTACCTCCTTTCAATAGGTACCATATTAGAATTGCTTAATGCAGAATGTTTTATAATGTGACCTAATTGTCAGAATACTTGTTTGAATTCATAAATACTTTTTATACCACAATAATAAGAGAAAAGTTCTATTTGTAAGGATATTGTGAATAAAGGAGTGATTTTAACAATTCCATCCACCCATCTCCAACCCAATATCCCACAGTAGGGTGTTTTTACTGAGCTGACATCCTTGGAATGCATAGGTGCTAAGGCAAGAGTTTTCCTCAACATTAGTTGATTATGGCCCTATATTTCCTTTGTTTTCCTATATAATACTTACAGAACTGTAAGGTATATGAAAAATTCCATGTTTAATTGCATACAACTCAGTTGATTTTCAGAAATGGAATGCACTCATGTAACTAGTAACTGGATCAAGGAATAGAAACTTAGCACACAGAAGCTCACCTTTCCATCCATTTTTTTTACTTGATATAAAAAAATACTAACATAATGTACTGTTTTGCGTTTGGCTTTTTTCATTTAACATTGTATCATAAGATTTAGCCACATAACTATGTGTAATTATAGATCATTTATTCTCCTTGCTACACAGTATTTCTTCGTGTGAATATAGCACAACACATTTATCATTCTTCTGTTGATGGACACTTGGGTATTTACAGTTTGAATCCATTAAAAATAATTTTGCTTTAAACATTATAGTATATATCTTTTTCAAGAGACTTTATTTTTTAGAGCATAGTATGCATCTTTAGGAAACTATATGAACACATTTACTGGGGGTGTATCCTATGGAATTGCTGGACCAGAGGATTTGCAAATGCTTACTTTTAGCGGATATCATTGAAACGTTTTCTAAAGCATTTGCAGTTCCAATTTCGTCACAAATTCAAAATTTGATGTAATTGTTTTTGTTTCATTTCAGCCATTTTGGTGGGTAGAAAGTGATTTTGCATTGTTGTTTTGCATTTCTTTTAATAATATCTATTTAACTTGGGAATATTTTCAAATATTTATTGATTATTTGCATATTCTCATCAACGGAGTGCAAGCTCAAATTTTTACCATTTTTACTGGGTTGTTCTATTTTTTCTTTATATATATATATATATATATATATATATATATATATATATATATATATATATATATAGCAAAACCTCACTTAGTATCACCCATAACTTCTTTGAAACTATACATTTAAGAAAACTGATTTTTCTTTTAAAAACGTTTTATTTCTCATCAGTATTATAATAAAATTACTGTTTTAGAGGGTCTGCTAGACTTTATTTCACTTAAAGTTACAGTTTCTAAGGACCTATCTACAATGTTAAGGGAAGACTTGCAGTATACTACTTAAATCTCTTGCTGAAAAATTTGTTACAAGTATCTTCTCCAACTTCCTGGATGTCCTTTCACTCTGTTAAGAGTTTAGAGAGAAGTTTTTCATTTGAACATAGTTTAATTTCGTTTAAGTTATCATTTTTTTCTTATCATTGGTGCTTTCTGACCCCTTTTCAGAAAGCTTGTCTACTCTATCCTCACAAAGACACTCCCATCTTTTTCCTTTATTGTTTTTCTTCATATTAAGATCTTCAGTTCGTGTGTGTGTGTTTGTGTGTGTGTGTATTTTAAGAGGGTAAAATAAAGATCCAGATACATACTCTTTCACAGATGACTATACAATTGAGCCACTAACATATGTTGAAGTTCTATTTTTTTACAACTACACCGTAGTGTCACCTTTGGCGTAAATCAACTATGTATATGTGCATCTGTTCCTCTACTTTATTCTGGGTACTTGGTCAGTATGACTATTCTTGCACCTACACTGTCTTAGTAACAGTGGATTATGCTATCTGTTAGTTCAAATCCTTCAGCTTTGTTCTTTAAATAACCTTCTCTATTTTTGTGCTGATGGAATTTCCTTTGTGATTATTTTAAATCTGACATCTTTCCATGTTGAATTTTTCAAACTGTAGTCATTGTGTAACCCTCTGTCTTTTTATTTTACTTTTAAAAATTATGCCTCAGTTGGGAGGTTTTGCACAACTTTTTAAAAAAAGTTTCCAGATATTTTGTGATATTTCAGTACTACTCAAAAGTTTATCTTTTTTGTTATTATAAAATTAAAATTTGATTTATTGCTTATTTACTGTGTATCTAGTGGTCTTTTCAAACTGATAAGTTCATTTATAAATTCATTTATAAATTTGTTTGTGGCTACTCGGATTATCTTTATTTACAATTCTATGGCATGCCTGATGATAGTTTTATTTATTGCTATGTCTTTGCTGTATGTATTTGCATGTTTTCTTAAATTTATTTTTACCTTTAGGTCAAGTAAAGGCTGCTTGTGTTTTTTTAAATGGAAGTAGTAGCAGTCATCTTTATCTCCTTCCCAACCTCAGAGAAAAAATATTTCAATAATCCATTAGGTATGATATTTGCTGTATTATTAATACTGTTTGTTTCGTAAATACTCTAGTTTAGACTTCTTAAAACAGAAATGTTTATGCTGTGCCTTCTCAATCATATGATTTTTCCTCTATTTTTACTTGATGTGCACACTGACTATTGAGCACTTAATGAAATTTGCCTTTCTAGAATAAATCAATGGCATGCTATTTACATATCACTGAAACTAATATACTAATTTATTTGTTAGGATTGTTTGCTAATGTTTATGAAAGAAATTGACCTATCATTTTTCTTTGCGTTTTTTTTGGTCATATAAAACAGTTACTGATCATATAAAATTAGATGGTACACATTTATTCCTTTCCTCCTCCCAGGAAATAAGTACGTACAATTGATATTATTTCTTTCTTAGAATTTTGTGATAATTCAACAATGAAGTTAATTGAGGTTAGACTTTTCTTCATGAGATTTTTAAACTAGATTCAGCTTCTTTAAAATAGAGAGCTGTTCTAAGTAATATTTTTCAATAAATTTGTATCTTCCAAATATTTTGCCAATTATTTTGGAGAAAAGTTTTATTCTTTTTCAAAATATACTGTCTTATTTACATATTTAGACTGTTTAATTTTTCCATTGTTGGCATTGGTGTATACTTTCTTCTATATTTTTTCCTTGATCTGTCTTCCTAGAATTTTATTAATATTATTAGACTTTTCAAATAAATAATTTGCATTGATGATTTTCTATATTTTGATGTTTGCTTTCTCTTTATCTTCTGTTGTATTTATTCATCTCTTACATCTTTATTTAGGATTTATTTTCTGTTCCTTTTCTAGAAAAGTGAGCTACCATCATTATGCTTTCTGTTACTATGAGTTTGACTATTTTAAATACCTTATATAAGTGAAGCCATGTAGTATTTGTCCTTCTGTGACTAACTGATTTTACATAGCATAATGTCACCTATGTTCATTTGTATTGTCAAAAAATCGTAGGATCTTTTCCCTATTAAGACTGAATGATATTCCATTGTTCATATATACCACATGTGCTTTGTCAATTCGCCTATCAATGGTCATATACCTGGTTTCTACCTCTTGGCTATTGTGAATAATGCTGCAATAAAAAATGGGAGGTGCACATAGCTCTTTGAGATTCCCATTTTAATCATTTTGGATATGTACCTAGAAATGAGATTGCTGCATCATATGGTAAGTCTTTTCTTAATTAATGAGGACCCTCCCTATTTTTTTCATAGTGGTTGCACTATTATACATTCCCACCAAAAGTGTATAAGGGTTTTATTCTCCCCACATCCTTACCATCAAGTATCTTGTTTTCATTTGATGACAGCCATCCTGAGAGGTATGAGGTGATATTCATGGTAGTTTTGATATAGCTTTCTCTGACAGTTAGGTTGAGCACCCATTCATATAACTGGTGGCCATTTGTGTGTCTTCATTGGAAAAATGTCTGTTTCAGCCCTTTATCCATTTCTAATAGACAATTTATGGCTTGAATGTATTTTCTCCTACTTAGTAAGTTGCCTTTTTACTCTGCTGATTCTTTTGCTGTGCAGAAGCTTTTTAGTTTGATGTAGCCCACTTGTCTATTTTTGCTTTTGTTGTCTATGCTTTTGGTGTCAAAACCAAGAAATCATTGCCAAGACCAATGCCAAGATTTTTATTTATGTTTTCTTCAAAGAGTTTACAGTTTCAGGTCTTACACTTAAATCTTTAATGCATTTTTAGTTTATCTTGGTGTATGGAGTAAAATGGGAGTCTAATTTCATTCTTACTCATACCCAGTTTTACCAACACCAATTGTTTAAGAGACTACCATTTTACAATTGTGTGTTTTTGACACCCTTGTCAAAGATCAGAAAGTTAGTTTCATCATGTTTTGTCACATCACATACCAAATTTGTAAGGTATCTAAATGCAACTAAAAGTAATGTTAAAAAACTGTTGTTGGCTCTCACATGGCATTCTCGCACTGACTAATTTTTCTGCATTGGCATTATTTTAATGATGCAGACATTTTTTGGGCAAATTAATATACATTCTTCTATCCATACTGAATTTATTTAAAAACATATTTTTCCTGTACTATTTTCAATGAGCCATGTTGAATAAAATAAATTTATTTTAAATCTTTATTTTCTAAATATTTAATTTAGTTTAATTTAATTTCAATACAAAAAACATATTTTACATGGGATTAACTCATGTTTTAGATTAATTTGAGATTTTAAATATTTTGTTAAGTTTTGATGTGATATCAGAGGACTGTCCTATTTTAGCTTAATAATGTAATAATCTGTCATGTATATATTCATAAGTCCCCTTGGTAAACAAGGGAAGTTCTCAGTATTTTGTAGATTCTCTGAGATAAGCAAGATGGGAGAAGAATCTGAGAGATTCAGACTCCTAATGCTGAGAATCTTGGCCATAGATACATCTACTCAAAGAGGGGATGGAGAAGAAGAAAGGAAACATGAAGCAGAGACCTTAGACTATCCATAGTGTTACATAATGCATTGTGTTGGTGATGCAGGCACATGCAGGATCCAATTATCTACCTAGCAATGACTCAATGACTAGGCTATGCAAGATGAGAGATTATCAGTAAGTGGGTGCTTTCTGGTGGTTCTTTGTTGTATCCTGACAATTTTCTTCTAAAGTTCTCCTTACTGTGATATATATTTGCCTATTTCTGTACTCACAGTGATTTAAATGCTAGCCTTATAGCTTCAGTCAACATTATTTATATAAAAAATATTGCTCTGAGGGTTACTTTGTTAAATTGCTTAAGTTGTGCATATGTTTAGCTTCCTTCAAGTCTCAGAATGGCAGAAGTAGTCTCTTATTTTTAGAGACTCTCAAGGACTAACTTTGTCATATACATTCTTGATTTATTTAGATAAACTTCAGTTCACTGACTCTTCTTTAAGATTTGAGGGATCATTCAAAAGTTAAATGACTGCAGAAACTAATAAATTAAGAAGAGAACTGATGTGGATATTAAACTCTTCATTGTTTAATATTAAACTATTTATTGTTTAATAAAGAGTTTAAATTATGGAAAAGACAGAGTATTTTCCTTTTGTTCTGCAAGCCAGTATTGCTCTGGGTGCATTTTTTTCCCCAAGGATTTTATGTAACAAATTGGCAACTGTTTTGTTTTGTTTGTTTTGTTTTTCTCTGTGATCAGGCAACAAAAGTAATTTGGAATATTTGTGCATCCTTTGAAAGGAAAGGGAGGACAACAAAATGTTGCTATATAGTATGACCATTCAAATTTTTAAAAAGCTAAGTTTAGGGAAAAATATATTGTAAATGATTATAAAATGAAAGAATGCACTTTTTGTTAATAAATAAAATGGAAACCTTAATTTAATAACAAAAATACCTAAAATATATTATGACATTTGTCTTCCTCACTCTGGAGGACACTTGGCCTTTTCTCTCTTATTATATGTTGACTAATTCGCTCAGAATCAGACTGAAAAATTACTTTTCGCATGAGTTAATTTCCCTAGTGGAATCCAAGGTCATATTTGAAATCAATTTTTCATTACATTATGCTAAGTGTTGATACAGCTTATATATCACACTTTCATTCAAATATTTTCTTTACCTTTATGCATATATAATTGCCACATATTCATACTTTTTATAGTAGGGTATTTAACTTTTTCCCAAATATACATATATAGGGATCAAAGATACAAAGTATAAATTTATGACAATCTAGAATAGCACTAGTTACTTATATAAATCCAGGTAGTTCTTAAGTAGAGCTTTTGGCAATAATTTTGGTTTATTATCAGAACATAACTTTAGTTCAAGTCTCTATTTCTATGGTTGTTATCAGATATGTGTTTATTATTGGGGAACTTTCATAATCAACTTTCTTAATTTATTCAATTTAAACTTAGAGAAAAATAATTAGAGACATAGAATATAAAGGTGAGAGGAGTTTCTTTGTAATGTAAGTGTTGTAAGTTTATTTTTAATGTAAGTGAAGGTTTATTGTTTTATAATAGACTTTATTTTTAAAGCAGCTTTATATTTACATAAGAATGGATGAGACAGTTTCCATATAGAAAATGCCCAAATAGCACATAGTTTCCCCTATTGTTAACATCTTACATTAACAAGATACATTTGTCACAATTAATTAACAAATGTTGATTTGGTATTACTAACAATAGCTCACATTTTATTCAGATTTATTTTTTACCTAATGTCGTTTTCTGTTCCAAGATGTAGGCTTTTAAAAAATTTACTTTTTGTACTTACTTTGTATTAAAGTATTTCAATCTCATCATGTATAGTTCCTGCATAAGTCCTAGAACCATCTTTTCTCCAAAGATCCCTTTATTAGATCTTTATTAGATAATCATATTAACAACCAAGATTTTACACTAAGTGTGCTCATTGCCACTGAAGACTTACTCACTTACACAGCATATATACATATACATGCTGTATAAATATATATGCGTATAGTAATCCATGTATTTACATATTTATAAATATTTCTATATGTAACCATCTTTAATTTTATTATCCTAACCATGATTTCTTACTAATGTCTCAACTCTAAGCCATTAATAAATGTATCATTCTAGCCTCTTCCCCTTGATTATCTATAAATTTCCTGTCCAACAATGAGAAACCTGATTTCACCATGCATTATCCATTGACTTGATTATTCCTAATGGTATTAAATGTGTTTAATATCATCTGATAATTTTAATTTTTTCCTAACATAATATAAACATTTTATTCTGAGACTATATGTTTTACTACTTAATCTTTTAAGCTGTTTTTCACTTCTTATCTTTTGCCCTATTAAATTTAAGGACTCAGCCTGACTCATACATATATTGTTCAAGTCTCTATTCTTTTTGACGTTATTTTCTAAAATTCTTTGTGTACACATTGAACTGCATCAGGTGATCTCTTACAATCAGTATGTATTTTAATATAATAGGACTTGGAGTAAAACACTTTGCAGACCTTTGAGCAATTTACAATAATTCTACTATCTCATATACATTTTAGGTGTATATGTGAGAATGTGTATGTGTTTGTGCTATCATCTAACATCCATGTTTGTAAGCCTCTGCTTATACATTAAAACTCACTAGATATGATAACAACTCTTTGAAATTCAAAGAAAAATCTATCAAATACCTAATACAGGTTTGTTTAACATGACTTTATGTAAAATATATTGAGAAGAGGTAACTGATGGCATATTTTTCTTTGAGAAAATGACTCTTTTTATTGCTCATTTTATCATATACTTTCAGGGATAAGTTATATTGAAAAATAGATTCTGCCTATTTTGATTAGGCAACACTATAATGCATTGTAGATTTTATACATGTCAGATGATTTCTTATTTGAAGATGATAAATATGATCAATGATAGTAAAACAGGTGTTTAATCTTATTTTTTCAGTAGTAGGTAGAACTTCCTTTAGCTCCATTCATGCTTCATTGACCAGTAAGGGGATATTCACAAAGACTCTTGGCTTGATCAAACTTCAGTCATACTCCTGAATTTTCTCTTAGGCCCATCTCTGCACCTCCTTGTAAAATTTAGTTTGAAGAAGAACACTGCCAGGTCACTTTGGCAAGAACTTCCCAACATTTGATATCTGATCATCCTGCGTATCTGATCAAGCTTCTTATCCTTCAGTATCCCTCAGATGATGTCTCATGACTGTGGCTTGCCTTCAATACAAATCCTATTAGGTCGGTTCAGCTAGAATCCCACTAACTCTTAAGGTTCATGCTTAGTAATTTTCCATGCACTGACATCCCTTACCACCCCCTGCTCCTTGATTGTAAATTTCCAGTTGTGTATGCTGTATTCTGAGTTGAACCCAATCTCTCCTCTACTGCAAAATCCGATACTATGCAGTAGTCCTGATTAAAATTTACCTTACTATTTGCTTTAACGAGTGTCATTGAATAATTTTTCTTTAACAGTATGAAAAGCCTGATCATGGAATTGATTTGTAATCTATGACCAAAAACTAGTGAAACTCTTACCAGCGCTTCAGGAAAAGCAGACCCATTTAGCTAACGTCAATACCAAAGTAGATATTTCAATTGTGACTTATTTTGCATAGCTTCACACTTTCTTATTGCTGCATATTTTAAATTGTAAAAGTTATTGATACTATTAAAATATTTTGGAATAATACTAATAATTGTAAGATTAATATACTAATACTAATAATACTAATATTTGTAAGATTAATATAATTGACAGATCCATGGGCTAGTATATTTTGGTCACATTGATATACATTAGAATTGCCAAGTTTTCTATAGCTATTATTTATCACAAAATTACCCTCTTATTCTTTGTAGTCTGAACTGAGTTTGACCAGTTGGTTTAAATGGAGGCTGTTTTTTGAGAATGAGTCTGCTTATTGGGGTTCTACTATGTCTTTTTGAATAAATTAATATATCTAAGACATATGGAATTTATGTTCTTTTGTACTAGTTTACGTATTATTCATATATTGACACATCTAATCTTCACAAGAACTCAAGGAGTTTGGTTTGATTATTTTATAGGTGAAGATAGTGAATAATAGAAAGAGCTTTAAAATTACTTAAGATTGCACAGCTAGACAGTGGCAAACAAAATTTGACCTTACCTTGGACCTAAATATGAATTCTCTACTTAGGCACTATATTTGCTATGTGTCACCTGAAATATGATCTCTTACCTTCTGGTCTATTTCATTTGAAGGATAACAAGAACTTAAAAAAAAACTGTGAAGTAATATTAGTAGATAAACCTGGATTTTTAGAATTTTCTCCTATGGAAAGGTGGTAGTGTTGGTATTAATTTAACAGCAAAATTTAGGTATTTCACCTTCACCTTGTTGGTGCCTTTACAAAATACTTGGCTCTCAAAATATTAATGCTCCTGAAGCTCAAAGCTATTGGTAGTTAATTTGATTATGCAAACTTAAAAACAAATATAAGTAGGATAAAGTTTTGGTGCCAAACAAAACTGAATTTTCATAGACTTCACTGGTGGGAGACAGAAAATCTTCTTCGTTCTAAGTTCTCGTGGCATAGGCTTCTGGGCATATGTTTTGACTGAGGATAAACAACACGATTTAATCTAAATAGAAAATTAAGATATATTTAGCTAAGAGAGCTTTCATTGATTGTATGTGTTACATTGTACCGTGACCGAAATACTGTTTTGGTTCAGTTTTATATTTCAATATATTTATTTTTTTGAATAATATGATATTTATGGAAAAGTTTCAAAGACAGTTCAGAATTACTGTACACATCTTGCCTAGTTTCCTCTATTATTAACAACTTGCATATCTGTGGCACAGTTATCAAAACTAAGAAACTAATACTGGTGCACTATTGATTAACCATGCTCCAAGATTTATTTGAGTTTTATTACTAATTACTTTTCCATTATTGCACTGTTTCTTCTCCAAAATGCAGTCTACAGTATTAGATTTATTTGCATTTAGTTACTGTGTCTCTCCAGTCTCCTGTGGTTTGTGACAGTTTCTCAGTTCTGTCCTTTTTATTTTTCCTTTTACTTTGATAGTCTTGGGGTAAAATGGCCAAGTATCCTGTAGAATGCCTCAATCTGAGTTTCTTCAATGTTTTATTTGTTTGCTTATTTGTTTTTTTATAATTAGATGGGAGTTATGAGGTCTTGGACAGAATACCACATAGGTGATGTAATCTTACCATGGCCTATTATAGTATCTACTTGATGGCCCCAGTAGTGTTTCATCACCTGGTTAAAAATAGTGCTTGCTAGGTATTTCTTCTTTAAGTTGCTATTTGTTGCTTTTCTAGCCTTCTCTTTGGAAGTGAATCATTAAGTTTACTCTAACATCAAAAGTGGAGAGTGGGGAGATAGGAATTGTGTACTACCTTGTGGAATAAGAAATATCTGCTTATATTATTTGGAATTATTTTGTAAGAAAGATTTATCTCTTCTTTGCCATTCATTTACCAAAGTATTCTTTAAACACACAAATAAATTCATTTTTAAACCATCATGTTAGCAATTATTTCTATCACTTGTTGCATTGGTTTCTCAATTTAATTAACTGAATTAAAAACAAATAATTGTGAGCATTATTGCTTTTCTTATATGATATATACCTTAAGAACATTACACTATCATTGTAAAATTGCCATTTGAAATTTTCCCTGTAATTTATTTTGAGAGTGGTAAGTGATAATAAAAATTCAGTGAAAAGACAATTATAAAACACACAAATAGTATACCTAAAATACATATGACTGAACATACACTTATGTACACATAACATTACAATAAAGATGTGCATTTTCAGATGAGTTCTGCAGTGCTGATGCTTACAGATACCCTAATCTCCCCAGGTGGGAAATGTCTGCTTTGTATTGCTTCTGATACTACCAAGGTAGAGTGGTGGTAAAATAAATGCTGCTAGAAAATTCAATGACTGTAAACAAACAAACAAAACACCAGAATAAGTCTGGATTTGCTTTATTTTGCCCATGATTTTTGTTTAAACACTGTATACAGAGTTCTTTCATTTAAGGATGTTTAAGCTCTATCATATTTGAGAAAGCCACTTAAGTTAAACTGATAAAAATGAAATTACTGTCTCAAAGGCACTGATGCAAGTTTAACTAGTATATTTCTGGTTTCTGATTGCCTTCAGTATAGGGTTTTAAGAAATGATAATAAGTGGATATTATTAAGACTGACTCACCTGGTTCAAATTTAACCCTAGTTCTGAGTTATGCTTTGAAAAAATTATTCATTTGTATGTTTTCTTACATAGTTGGAACATATATGACTTTCTGCTATATTCAGTCTTTAGATTTGTTAACTAGAAAGGAGACTAAATAAATTTCTTATAAAGAATCAGTTTTAACAAATTCTTCATTAAATAGATAAAGAATAAAAACTTTCCCTAAAATTTCAGAGATTAATTGTGAAGTAAGACTTTTACCCGGTGGCCCTTATAAAGACAAAGCTGATTCAATTCAGTGCTCTTGTCTGAACACAGAAGGATGCACTTCTATTGGTGATGATACCAAATTATTTGGTCTTCAGATATAGTCACATATTAAAATATTTTTAAACATAAAGATACATAAGTATTAAAGATAAGACTATAAAAGTAAAATTTTTGAAAATTAATTATATAAATGTATTTTTGAATAGACAAAGTCATCTTATTCTAACTTTTAAGTGACTAGAATCCAGATTCAAACTTCTTACTCAGAACTTAACTAATATTTCATCTAATCCTCCCATTTTGCAGATAGGAAGTGCACTGAGAAATATTAAATTAATAACCTCAGCTCACCTAAGCTCAGTTCACAAAATACAGTTTTACTTAGTTGAGTTTTAACTTTGGTTCACAGTCCTAAGTTTAATTCTGTGATAGTCTCTATTTGTCAGCCCTAACATGTGAAATATCTAGGTAGGGTATAGATTGTACAAGCAATTTTACAGAGTAATTTATGTGATGAGTCATGGGGTTACTGAAACAGTCAGGAATTATAAGACTGCTGCTACATAGAGAGAATCAATTAAAAACAAAAAGGAAGCAAAGCAATGTGAGATAAACAGAGTAGATGTGTATGACATTCTTAAAAGCATCTGTTTTAAGATGTCCTGCTGGTAGGAGAAAAATTAAATTAGATTCAAATATAATTGTGACATATTTTAGAATATGAAATGTCATTCTGTTTGTCAGGCAGGCTTGTGTTACTTGGATTCACAGCAATTATTATTTTTTTAATTCAAGAGTGATCTAACAAATAGTCTGTCTTACCCCTAATACCAATGCTGAAATTTTAAATACTAGGTAGAAAATATTAATCTTCATGAAGGTGTTTATATCCTTGGAATGGAAAATTTTTCTCTCCATGGACAAACTGTTGATTGTTTTTCTCTCCTATCTTTGGAGAAATGGGAGATTTAAATTTACTTTTATAACCATGTTTTTTCAAATGTATCTACTTTCTAAGGAAAAGATAATAGAAGAAACTGGGATTTTGGAAATAAATACAATAAAAGACCCATCAACTAAAGAGTGAATTATTAGTAATGTGCATTTGAAATGCTGCATCATGTTTATTTGAAAAGTAAATGATTCTGTCATATCAGCTCATCTGAAAAACTGACAAAAATATATCCAAAGTAAGCCTATGTAAATATATTTATAAAATTTATAATGGAAATGTATAAATATACTTATGATATTTATAATGGAAATATTTAATTCACATAATAATATAAATATGATTTAATTAAAATATTTCATAGTTGATAAAATATTTTAGGCTTTTAAATTTTACTTTGAACCAGTATAAATAGCTATCTTTTTAACATTTAAAAGGAAAATATCATTAGCTTAGCATTTTACAGGTTTCAAGCTCTACAAGGGGAGAAAAATGAAAACAAAAACAGCATAATTTTGTATTTGGAAGTGCAATGATTAGTACATAAATTATAATTATAAAATAATTAGGTTGTATTACATCATATTATTGAAAGAAGGCTTCTAAACCAGCCTGATTAATGATGGCTTCTTTTGTTTTAACAGTAACACATTTTCAAATCTATAGAAAATAAAATATTTAACATCTTACCATCTAATTAACATGCTCATCTTTAATATTTTGGAGACCTCTCACTTGTATTATAACAAACAGTGAAATCTAAGTGTCCAAAGTGAACCTTTTCATGTTGGTAGCTTTGCAACTGTTACATAACACTAATGCTGATGGCACTTTGCCATCTGACCATCAGTTTTACTTTGGGAACAATGTAGTGATGGTACTGTTGTCATGAGAGCCTTTCATTTAGTATTTTATAATTTTATGCTTATATTTTGTCCATACTAATGTATTTAAAATAATTTTAAAACTTTAATATTGTAAAAATTTGGAGGATTTGTGTGTGTGTATGAGTGCAAGAATTTGATATTATGTCAAAAATTGTACAGTCATCCCTGAAGTAGATGTCAATATTAAGAGCTGAGTAAATTATTTCATAATATAGACTTACTGATAAAAGACAAAGTATTTCTAATATATGAAAACATGATTATGAATGAAAAAGAGATAAACATAAAACATATGAAGCTTGCTTCTTACTAAGGTATAATAACACTTTTAAAAGAACAAAAAAGCTGGCAAGACACACAAAGACAGATTTTCTCATTTCCTTCCTTGGCTTTAGGGAGAAAATGTACTGTACAGTGGAACCCTGGCTTTGGCTGGACCCAAGACCGTATGTTAAATTAATTAATGTAAATTATATTGCTTTTTAAAAAAAGCATATATTCCATTTCCCATCATTTAAACCTCTGAACCCACATATATACAGAACATGGACAAAACTACACACTGTTTCCTGCTGCTAATAATAAGCAAATAAAAGATAATCCCTTAGTAGGTAAACTCATCCTTAAACAAATTTAACTCATATTAGGTGAGTAAACAGATGGAGCTGGCATAGTGCCTTAAAAGTCAGGAAATTCAGACTTGGTAGAGCTGATGAGGTGGAAAGGCAAGAGTATACCAGAGCTGAGGATTGTCCGGAGAAAAACTCTTCGTTTCTATCCTCACCTTCAGTAATGATCTTGGATTCTTAATGGAAAGCTTTGAACAAAATCCATATTTTATGATGATATATCATGAAAAGAAGAGCCAAATCATAGAATACAAAAGGGACTGTGTTGATTAAACACCTGCAGTACTTAGTATTTATCTTCCTTAACTTTACTAGGTTCTGCCTATAAAGCCAGCAAAATGGATTAAAAACAGATTTATGAAGTAGTTGATATTATTACTTTGTAATTTTAACTATAGTGTATCATAAATAAAATATTAGGTATTTTAAATTTATTTTGGATTTGAAGAAAGCACATATAAAGTTATTAGTGAGCAACCTATTTGGGATTGACTTTTGTTTTAAGATTTCATGTTCTCGGAAACAAAGTGTAAGTGTAAGGCGTTGTTGGTTCTGAGATTGTAAATACAAATAAGGCTCTTCCCTTTATTTGCTTTTATGTCTCTTTATTATTCATTCTCTTGAAACAATGATTAAAAGTGAAGTTGTTGGCAAGAAAAGCAGATGGTTTTTACAGCAAATAATTATATTTCCCCATAAAACACATAGAAAATGGGGATTTCTTGGACAACCTCATGTATTTGGTTTAAAATATTCCGTTGTCAAATCCATTTTACTCAACTAACAGAATAGGATTTGTGTTAACACTAAGATAACCCTCATTCCTTTTCTCATTCTTCATGTCCACAATTAGCAAATGCCTTTTTAATATGAGAAAATCAAAGAAGTAAGAAAAAGTACTTGAGATAAAAATGTTGGTATTGTTATGGGATCTTTGGGTGTTGCTTTTCTGGCCAGAAACCTCTGTGGCCGACGGTGCCTTTTCCCGAGTTCTTGTCCTCCACCCAGGAAGAATGAGGTACGCAGACAAGTGGAGGGAAAGGAAGATGAAGAGGAGCTTTGCTGAGTGTTAGAAAAGCTCAGAGGAGACCTGCAGGTGGGTAGCTCCTCTCTATAGGCAAGTCATCCCTTCAAGTGTTCAGCTCTCAGCAGAGAGGAGGCCCTGGAGAGGCAGGAAGCCCTGCCAGTTTTCCACGGGCCAGCCTGTAAAAGGCACCACAGTCCCTATTCCAGTCTGTGTTACTGGCAGCCTGGTCCCTAGCTTTCAGGCCCTCCCTGGACTGAAGGTGGGGCCTCACTGGAGACCCATCCCCTTTTTAATATGAGAAAATCAAAGAAGAAAAAATATGTGAGATAAAAATGTTAGTATGACTAATCTTCCTTAAGTTGATTATTTACATATGACTTTTATAAACCCATGAACAAAAGAGTTTACCTTGTGTTTAACAGAGAACGATCTTCTCCGTTATTAGTCATTAATCTGAATTTACTTTTTCTTTCAGAGTCTACTTTAGCATGCAGTTAAGAGTCACAATTATGATGCCAATATGTGTTTCTGGACTTCAGAAGAACTTAATACCACCTCAGTATATCTTGCCTTGTGGGTTATCAATAAATATTTCATATCATTTTGTTTCTTTAAGCCTTAGAAATATGTCATGTGAAGTATTAAGATAGTCATAATTCTCCAAACCTGAAGAATATATTATGTGAGAGAATTAAATAGCTTTTCCTGAATAATTTTTTCATGATAAAAGTCACTTAAAAAGCTCTGAGCAGATCTCATTTCCCAGAGCACTGCCAGCTCCTGTTCCTTTTCTACACAATTTGGCTTTGAAAATCCATTATCTGTCTATATATTTTTATCAGTGTAGTTTAAAAACGTGGCTGGTCGTTCTTCACTGCTGAAGCGTGTTGAAAGTCATTTCTACTTACCAAATTCAGTAATTGGGCAAGAACAAATAAAGTACATAGAAATCAGTGTCTCTGCAAAGAGACTATTATAATTTTTGCAAACACTGTCACTACTTTGTTTTATTTTCATGTGTACATCCGCAAGATTGAACAAGTTGAGCACTTGATGCAAAAAGTATAATTTGATTATTTTCCTTTCTCTGAAGATTTCCTTGTTATGTCTGCACGGGTTGGATACCAAAGGGTCTATGATCTCACTGGTCATATTGTGAAAGGTCCTCTGGTCACAGTGGCCCACAGAATATTCTCGGTATATAATTACCAAGTTTTTTAGCATAAGCCAAACTTACAAAATCGTGTTCATTGTTCTGGAGTACTTTAGGATCATTTACAGCAATAGTAAAAGAGAGAACTTTCTAATTAGAAAACATAAATTTGTTTATGGAAATTCAACTTTATTCTCTACATTTGCTAATTTCAGGATTGTACGTGGGCAACTGAGAAGAAAATGGGGGTGTAATTACAAAGACACTTCTTGAATATAGTACCATCATCTTGAGGTGTTGACATTCTGTAGGCTCAGCAGGTGTTCAAAGACGACACAATGTTTCATTAAGTGCTTTGGTGGAATAAAGTCTGGTTTTCTAGGAAACAGCCCCTGAGATGATGTGGTTTACCTAACGTAGTGATTCTTTTTTTTTTTTTTTTTTTTTTTTTTTGAGACGGAATCTTGCTGTATCGCCAGGCTGGAGTGCAGTGGCGCAGTGGCGCGATCTTGGCTCACTGCAACCTCCGACTCCCAGGTTCAAGTGATTCTCCTGCCTCAACCTCCGGAGTAGCTGGGACTACAGGTGCGTGCCACCACGCCCAGCTAATTTTTGTATTTTTAGTAGAGATGGGGTTTCACCATATTGGCCAGGATGGTCTCGATCTCTTGACCTTGTGATCCGCCCACCTCAGCCTCCCAAAGTGCTGGTATTACAGGAGTAAACCACCGCGCCCGGCAATGTAGTGATTCTTACCCGAATCAATAATGAGTCTCAGCCCATGATCACTTCTCAGGCTGTGACTGTGGCACTTTTCTCTTTCAGGTTAGAAGTGAGTTGAAGAAGAGCAAGAGAATGTTCAGAGAAACATGGGAGTAACTAATATAATCTCCCTTGTCAAATTATGTATTACCAGAATTACTTTTCCTGATGGTCATGATCAACTAGTGCTGACAGAAGTATTATTACTTATACTGTTCATGTTATTATTCATTTTCCTTGATTACTCTTGATGCTTATTTTTGTTAAAGCGACTATTTTGATTATTTTCTATTTCCCATTTTCTTAATTTCTGTTACTTTTAAATACATATTTATTTCATGTACTTAATACGTTTAATTTGTTCTTTTAGCTTCCAAACAAAATTATCAACATAGAAAAGACAACACAATTTAAAAAATCTACAGTAGGGCAGCAAACAGTTTCTGCATTTGAAATAGCAACAAATGTTAGAATAATTATTAGTATGTTTTTATGTCTTTGTGCCACATACTGTGCTATGAATCACTTCATTACACAGTAGGGTAACTTAATGTTATGTTTAGGCTGAGTGCAAGGAAACCAGGAATATCCAATAAAGGAATGGGTATTTACATGCGAAAGTATTGGGAAAATTATGGTGAAGGAGATAACTGTATTACATAGAAACATGGAAGGAAATTATAGGAAAAGGGCAGAGCACAACTAAACACACAAGCAAGAAAGTAAATGGCTTGCTTTGGGAATAGCTAGCAACTTTTCTTATTAACACCATATGATCAAAATTATAATGAAATTTTAAAAAATGAAACAATGCAGGTGTTTATGAAAATAAAAAGGACAAAGAAGAACTGAGAATTTTTGCCTTGATTGTAAGCCTCTGTGAAATCTGTTAGATGTTAAATTTCACAAAAAGATATGGAGAAGAATATTCATCATAGAAAACAATAAAACAGGAGTTAAAGGCCAAAAATTCAAGCTAAAAACTGTTATAAGAAATTGATAAACAGTATTGTACTCTATGAATCTATCTATGTCCTTATCTATGCATCTATGTTTTGTAGAATGCAAGTGGAGGCTCTGAAACTTCTTATCCAGCCTCCTTTACCTTTCCTCCACCTTTCTTCCTGTCAGTAAAAGGAAAACTCTATTTTAACTCAGAAATATTTTGCTCAGAAAAGATCTCAGAAAAAAATCTCAGAAGTGTTTGTGGTTCAAAAATCTGTTTCCTTAAAAACTTAACTTTTAAATACAGTAAAAAGTATTAGATCCTCTCGTACCTCTGATTAAACATCTTTCTAACTTATAAAACTAATTTGTAATAGTATCCAAACTCTTTCCAAAAATGTTCAATATGCTTTTTTATTAAAATAGATGACATATGAAGAATTTACCATAATGAAAATATCTTATATTGTTGATTGAAAATACCTCACTAATTATTATGTTTCAATGTCTGTGACTGTAAAAATGAGAGAATTATACTAAATAATTGAAATAGACTTTGCTAGCTCTAATTGATGTGAGTCAATGCATTTTTGTTATTATGAAATAAAAACCCAGTACATTTGTAGAAATATAAAAATGATTTCTAAATTCTGTAATTAAGTTACAGCTAATGAAATTAAACATTTTATTTTATTATTTTTTCTCTTAATTGGCCAAATGTTACATTTCTCTAATTAAGTAATAGGTGGGCTAATAGAAAACACCTTGTATTCAAATATCTGTCCTTAATGTTTTAATGGACAACTATACATTTTCCAAGTGCTCAAATAGGAAAAAAACATGTATTAGAAACTTTGAACCTGGTCCTCAAAGCAATACCTATTTCTGAGTAGCCAATATCACCACATAATTCTGTTGTGCAATGAAACTCAGAAAGTTTTGTAGTTGTTGTTTTTAAGACACTCTAAATCTAAATATGTAGGGTAAACCACTATGCTTCATGGCCAGGGAATTAGGCATACTGATTAAAAGTCTTTCAATAGTAATAAGACTCATCTATATATCTCTCAAAATAATGCCACCAACTCCCTCACACATACTTTCTTAAGTCAACATCCTCTCTTCTACATTAAAAATGGAAAACAAATATTCTCTTTTAAATAACTTCTATGTGATCTGCTCAGAAGTTGTACCTCAGCCTCTTGTTTCCTCATTTATGTTCTGATCTGCTGTGAACTATGGCCCACTTGGTTGCTGGTCACCACTTAAACAGAAGCATCTATCTCACTTCTTGCAAAGGGTGAAGGGAAAGGCGATATAAACAAACCACATTTCATTCTACTGACTTCTACTTTCTCTCCACAGCAATACTGAACAACGCCACCTCAGTGGGTCTGACAGAAGACAGAAGAATTAAAGTTTAATTGTGCAGTAAGTATATGTGCAATAAATATACTGGGGTGCAAAAAAATACCATATCTACTTATTTTTGAAACCGAATTCAAGCTCTCCCATGCAACTATTCTTAAGGATGGAATAAAATTCATTCTCAGTCGTGAACAATGGTTGAAATGAGGAAGATTCCTATTTTTTTATAATCCTACTTAAGACTCTAGAAGAAAGACTCTTCTTCAGTCCACCACACCAAGTCTGGAATGATGTGTTCATTGATCCAGCGTACCTTGAGATAGCTTCTCTCATCTCTTTGACTCTAGCTTAATTTCAGTGATTATTTTAGAGCTGAAGGCTGGGACAACCTGAGTGCTGTCTCCAGGAGACAGCACCACAGTCATTCCTGGGGACTCAAGAAAGGGTATGACCCATGAAGTCTTAATTCTCTTCCTAGTTCCTGTTGGACACTTTTTAGACACCCATCCTCCTGCTTGTGCAAATTCTGCCAAAGTTTGTCTTTAAAAAAGACATTAATATCTTAGGGTAGAAAGTGTCTTCCTTGGATTAAAGACATTAACACATCTCTGAGGAAAGAAGATAGAAGTTCATCTCTTCATCCTTCCATACACCCAGAGCAATGGGAACAAATCAAAATTAATTTATCAGTTATCATTCTACCACATACGATTTGTCCCATTGTCTAGCATGAAGAAAGCAAAAGCGTATGTGGATAGAAAGGGGCATCTAAACGTTTTACCATTCACATTGATCAAAGACTTGCACAGAGAAATGTAGAATTTTAATTGTTTATTTATCTTATTTTTTCCAACTTTTATTTTAGATTCAGGAGGTACATGTGCAGGTTTGTTACATGGATATTTTGCCTGATGCTGAGATTTGGAGTATGAATGACCACATCATCCAGGAACTGACTATAGTTCCCAATAGTTTCATTTTCAACTTTTGCCCTCTTCCTCCCACCCCCCTCTAGTAGTCCCCAGTTTCTATTGTATCTATTTTTATATCCATGTGTACTCAATGTTTAGCTCCCATATATAAGTGAGAACATGCAGTATTTGGTTTTCTCTTTCTGCATTAATTAGGATAATGGCTTCTAGCTACATTCATGATGCTGCAAGGGACACAATTATTTTTGTGTCTGCATTGTATACAGTATGGTATACATGTACTACATTTTCTTTTTTTTTAATCCACCTATGATGTGCACCTAGGTTGATTCCATGTCTTTGATATTGTAAATAGTGTCTGTTAAATATGTGAATAGATTTGTCTCTTTGGTAGAACAATTTGTTTTGCATATATACTCAGTAATGGGATTGCTTGGTCAAATGGTGGTTCTGTTTTTATTTATTTATTTATTTTTTGAGAAATCTTCAAACTGCTTTCCACAGTGGTTGAACTAATTTACATTCCTATCAATGTTATGTAAATGTTCTCTTTTCTCTGCAGCTTCACCAGCATCTGTTGTTTATTTGACTTTTTAGTAACTATTCTGACTTATATGAGATGGTATCTTGCTGTGGTTTTGATTGGTATTTATCTGATGATGAGTTCTGAGGATTTTTTATATGTATGTTGGTCATTTGTATGTTTATTTCTTCTGTATATGTCTAGCTAGCTATTCCAGCACCATTTAAATAAGAATTTCATTCCTCATTGGCGACTTTATTGAAGATTAATTGGTTGCAGGTGTGCAGTTTTATTTCTAGGTTTTCTAGTGTGTTCCATTGGTCTATGTGTCTGTCTTGTACCAAAACCATGCTGTTTTAGTTACTGTAGCCATATAGTATAGTTTGAAGTCAGGTAAGGTAGTGTCTTCAGCTTTGTTATTTGCTTAGGATTGCTTCAGGTATTTAGATTCTTTTATGATTCCACATGATTTTTAGAGTCTTTTTTTTTTCTAATTCTGTGAAAAATGTCATTGGTAGATGAAAGGAATATTGTTGAATCTGCAGATTGCTTTGGACAGATGGCTATTTTAAAGGTATTGATTGTTCCAATCTATGAGCTTGAAAAGTTTTTCTATTTGCTTCGGTCAACTATGATTTCTTTTAGTAGTGTTTTAGAGTTCTCCTTGTAGAGCTCTTTCACTGTCTTGGTACTATTCCTATGTATTTTATTTTGTTTTTGGCTATTGTAAATGGGACTGCATCCTTGCTTTGGCTTTCAGATTGGTAGGAATAAATGCTACTGATTTTTTTATATAGTATCCTGACACTACCTGAAATTATTTATCAGTTACTGGTGCCTTTTGACAGAGCCTTTAGGGCTTTCTTTGCATAGAATCTTAACATCAGAACAGAGAGATTTTTGACATTTTCTTCCTATTTAGATGCCTTTTATTTTTTTCTCTTGACTGATCATTCTGGCTAACACTTTCAGTATTATATTGAATAGAAATGGTGAGGGTGAGCATCTTTGTGTTGTTCTAGTTCTCAAAAGGAACGGTTCCACTTTTTGCTGGTCCAGTATGATGTTGGATGGCTGAGTTTGTTACAGATGGCTCTTAGTATTTTGAGGTATTTTTGTTTGGTGCCTTGATTATTGAGGAACTTTATGATGAAGCCATGATGAATATTATTGAGAACTTTTTCCAAATCTATTTAAATGATCATATGGTTTTTATTTTCAATTCTGTTTATGTTGTGATTTATATGTGTTGATTTGCATATGTTGAATCCAACTTGCATCCCCAGAATGAAGACTAATTGTTAATGATAAATTAACTTTTTGTTGTGCTGCTGGATTTTGTTTTCTAGTATTTTGTTGAGAATTGTTGTGTCTATGTTCATCAATGATGTTGGTCTGTAGTTTTATCTTTTGTTGTTTCCTCGTCAGATTTTGGTATTAGGGTGTGATGCTAGTTTCAGAAAAGAGTGAGAAAGGAATCTTTTCTCAGTTTTTTGAATAGTTTCATTGAATTGGCACCAGATCTTATTTGTAATTTGGCTATGAATCCATCTGGTCCAGGGCTTTTATTGGTTTCTAGGTTTTTATTACTAATTCAATTTCAGCTCTTGATATTGGTCTGTTAGGGTTTCAATTTCTCCCTGAATCAATTAGGAGATTGTGTGTTTCCAGTATGTTTTACTTTGTTCTCACACCTCTATAAAGGACTACCCACGAATAAGTAATTTATAAATAAAAGAGGTTTAATCGACTCACAATTCCTAGGGAGGCCTCAGGGAACTTACAGTTATGGCAGAAGGCAAAGGAGAAGCAAGCACCTTCTTTACAAGGCAGGAGGAGAGAGAGAGAATGCAAGAGGGGAAATGCCACACTTTAAAATCATCAGCTCTTGTGAGAACTCACTCACTATCATGAGAACAGAATGAGGGTAACCACCCCCATGATCCAATGACCTCCTACCAAGTCCCTCTCTTGACCTGTGGAGATTACAATTTAAGATGAGATTTGGATTGGGACACAGAGCCAAACCATATCATTCTGCCCCAAACCCTCCCAACACTCATATACTTTTCACATTTCAAAACAAATCATGCCTCCCCAACAGTCCCCCAAACTCTTAACTCATTCTAGCAATAACTCACAAATTCAAGTCCAAAATGTCATCTGAGACAAGGCAATCCCATTCTGCCTATGAACTTCTAAAATAGAAAACAAGTTAGTTACCTCCAAAACACAATGGGGGTACAGGCATTGAGTAAATGTTCCTATTTTAAGTGGCAGAAATTGGCCAGAATATAGGCACCACAGGACCCATGCAAGTTGAAACCTGGCAAGGCAGTCATTAAATATCAAATCTCCAAAATAATCTCCTTTGCCTCTGTGTGTCACTTCCAGTTCACACTGATGCAAGGGGTAAACTCCCAAGGCATTGGGCAGCTCTGCCTCTCTCTCTCTGGCTCTGCAGGGTACAGGCCCCACAGCTGCTTTCACAGGCTGACTTTGAGTGCCTGCTGCTTTTCCAGGCATATGGTGTAAGCTGTTGGTGGGTCTACCATTCTGGGGTCTGGAGGATGGTGGCCATCTTCTCACAGCTCCCCTAGAAAGTGCCTCAGTGGGGACTCTGTTTTGTAGCTCCAACCCCACATTTCCCCTCTGCATTGCCCTAGTAGAAGTTCTCCATAAGGACTCCATTCCTGCATCAGACTTCTGCCTAGACATCCAGGCATTTTCATACATCCTCTGAAATCTAGGCAGAGGTCCCCAAACCTCAACACTTGTCTTCTGCATACCCTCAGGCCCAACACGATGGGGAAGCCACAAAGGCTTGGGGCTTGCACCATCTGAAGCAAAGGCCCAATATGTACCTTGTCACCTTTTAGCCATGGCTGGAGATAGAGTGGCTGGGACATAGGGTGCCATGTCCTGAGGCTGCAAAGAGCAGTAGGGTCCTGGGTTTGGCCCATGAAACCATTTTTCCCTCCTAGGCTTCCAGGCCCGTGATGAGAGGGGCTGCTGTAAAGATCTCTGGAGATGCCCTGAATACATTTTTCCCATTGTCTCAGCAATTAACATTTGGCTTCTCAATACTTACACAAATTTCTGCAGCCAGCTTGAATTTCTTCCTCCAGAATTGTTTTTCTTCTACCACATGGTCAGGCTGTAAATTTTCCAAACCTTTATATCTGCTTCTCTTTTAAACATAAGCTCCAAATTCAAACCGTCTCTTGGTGAATGCATATAAATGCATGTTTTCAGAAAAAGCCAGGTCACCTCTTGAATGCTTTGCTGCTTAGATATTTCCTTTGCCAGATACCCAAATAATCTCTCTCAGGTTCAAAGTTCCACAGATCTCTAGGGCAGGGGCAAAATGCTGCCAGTCTGTTTGCTAAGGCATAGCAAGAGTGACCTTTGCTGCAGTTCCCAATAATTTCTCAATATCCATCTGAGACCATTTCAGCCTGGACTTCATTGTCCATATCACTATCAGCATTTTGGGCAAAACCATTCAACAAGACTGTAGGAAGTTCCAGACTTTCCCACCTCTTCCTGTCTTTTTCTAATCCCTCCAAACGGTTCAACCTTTGCCAGTTAGCTACTTCCGAAGTGGCTTCTACATTTTCAGGTCTCTTTATAGCAATACCTCCACTTCTGGTACCAATTGTCTGTATTAGCCTATTCTCACACTGCTATAAATAAATATCAGAGACTGGATAATTTATAAATAAAGGAGGTTTAATTGACTCACAGTTCCATATGGTTGGGGAGAAAACTCTGGAAACTTAACAATCATGCTGGAAAGCAAAGGAGAAGCAACCACCTTCTTCACAAGGTGGCAGGAGAAAGAGAGAGTGTGAGGGGTGAACTGTCACATTTTAAAACCATCAGCTCTCATGAGAACTCACTCACTATCATGAGAACAGCATGGCAGAAACTGCTCCCGTTATGCAATCACCTCCCACCAAGTCCCTTTCTCAACACATGGGGATTACAATTTGAGATGAGATTTGGGTGGTTAAACAGACCCAGGCCATATAACAGGAATATGTCCATTTCCTCTAGATTTTCTAGTTGGTGTACCTAATTGTCTCTGAGCACCTTTTGTATTTCTGTGTGATCAGTTATAATGTCATCTTTGTTATTTCTGCTTATTTGGATCTTTTTTTTCCTTTTTTTCTTTATTATTCCAGTAGGTGATCAATTAATCTTGTTTATTTTTTCAAAGACCCAACTTTTGGTAACCTTGATTCTTTGTATGGATTTTTGGTCTCAATTTAGTTCATTTCTGCTATAATTTTAGCAATTTATTTTCTTCTGTTTGCTTTGGGGTCCTTTTGTTCTTTCTTTTCTAGCCCCTCCAGGTGTGATAATTGATTGTTAATATGATATTTTTCTAAATTTTTGAGGTATTCATTTAGTGCTTTAAACTTTCTTCTCAAGTCTGCTTTTGCTGTATCCCAGGGATTTTGGTATGTTGTGTCTTTGTTATTCATTTCAGATAAGTTTTTGATTCTTGCCTTAATTTTGTGGTTTACCCAAAAGTCATTCAGGACCAACTCGTTTAATTTCCATGTAACTGTGTGGTTTTGAGAGATCTTCTTGATATTAATTTCTAATTTTATTTCACCTTAGTCCAAGAGTATGGTTGGTATGATTTTGATTTTTTTGAATTTATTGAGACTTGCTTTATGAGTATGTGGTTAGTTTTGGAGTATTTTCTGTGTGCAGATGAGAAGAATGTATATTCTGTGGTTGGTGGATAGAGTGTTCTGCAGATGTCTATTAGGTACAGTTGGTCAAGTGTCTAATTTATGTCCAGAAATTATTTGTTAATTTATTGCTAGATCTATCTAATGCTGTCAGTGCTGAAATCCTGTGCTATTACTGTGTGACTTGCTAATTCTTTTCTTGGGTCTAGAAGTACTTGTTTTATGAATCTAGGTACTCTCATGTTGAGTGTATGTATATTTTTGATAGTTAATTCCTCTTGTTGAATTTGAGCCCTTTATCTTTATGTAATGCACTTTTTTGTCATTTTTTACTGTTGTTATCTTAAAGTATGTTGTATCTACTATAAGAAGATAGACATCTGCATTTTTCTATAATTCTTTACTTTGAGCCCAGGATTGTCCTTACATATGAGTTGGTTCTCTTGAAGACAGCACAGAACGAGTCTTGTTATTTTAATCCAACTTGCCAGTCTATACCTTTCAAATGGGGAGTTTAGACCATTTACCTTCAAAGTTAACATTAATATGTGAAGTTTTGATCCTATTGTGAAGTCGTTAGCTAGTTGCTTTGTAGTTTCTATTTTGTGGTTACTATATAGGTACTGTGGTGGACTATGCATTTAAGTGTGTTTTTGGTGGTAGCAGGTATTGTTCATTTGCTTCTATGTTTAAAACTCCCATAAGGATCTCTTATAAGGCTGATCTTGTGGTAATGGATTGCCTTGGTGCTTGCTTATCTGGAAAAGATTTTATTTCTCCTTTGCTGATGAAGCTTAGTTTGGTGGGATGTTAAATTTTTGATTGCAATTTCTTTTCTTTAGAATGCTAATAAATGGTCCCTAGTCTTTTCTGGCTTCTAACGTTTCCGCTGTGAAGCCTGCTATTAGCCTGCCGTATGTGATCTGGTCTTTTTCTCTAGCTGCATTGAAAAATTTTTCTTGAATGTTGACCTTGGTGACTATATGCCTTGGTGATGTTTACTTTGTATAGTTTCTTGCAAGTGTTCTGTGGATTTTTTTCTATCTGGATGTCTATCTCTCTAGCAAGATTAGGGAAATTTTCATGAATTATCCCATCAATTATCTTGAATTCTTTCCTCAAATATCCAGTTTTCTTGGTTGTTTATTTTTTCCCTTCTCTCACAGGTATGCCAGTAATTTGTAGATTTAGCCACATTACATAATCCTATATTCCTCTAAGATTCTGTTGAATTTTTTGTTTATTTTTATCTGTGTTAGTTTGAAACTCTGGTGTTCAAGCTCTGAAGTTATTTCTTCTGCCTGATCCAATCTGTTGTTAAAGCTTTCAAGTGTGTTTTGAAATTTTTTAAGTTTCTCAATTTAAAAATCTCTGGTGATTTTAAGATTTTTATCTTTTTCTTCATTTTCTGGATTTCTTTAGAAGTTTCTTTGTGTTGATTTTCAAACTTTTCTTGGATCTCATTGAGCTTTTTTGCAATCTATGCTTTGAATTCTTTTCTGTTATTTATGAGTTTCCATGTTGGTTAGGGACCATTGCTGGATAACTAATGCCCTTCTTTGATGACGTTGTTGCATTTGGATTTTACATGGTGCCAGTATTATTGCACTGGTTCCTTCCTAAATATGTAATTATTATCATACTGGTAGAATCTTTTTTTACTTTTCCCCCTGTACTAATATCTCTGTATATATTTTTTCCCTTTCCCTTTCCATCCCTCCCTATGGGGTGTGACTGTAGAGAATGCTGAGTAGAATATTTTGGCTTTGCTTCTGCAGCCCTGTGCACTTCCGTCAGTAGGTTTTATATTGGGCTGTGCAGTTTGACCCATCAGCCAGCAGATGGCGCATATAGGTAAGAGCCGGCTTTGTCGCTGTAGATGGGTATATACTTTATTCTTGTTTACTGTGAGTAACCCTCTTTTGCCTCAAGCAATGGGCTGTTTCGTGGAATGCACAGTGGTCTGAGTTCCCTTCTCATCCTTAGGAGGGCAAGGCCCACGATGAGGGCCTAGACCTGGCAGGTCTGCCTACAAGTCCCCCGATGGCAGGCAAAATCACCAACACCAAGGGAGAATCCAAAGTAGCCACTAAGCCCCCAGAGGATTGTCTAAGAGTAGAGCTGGGAAGCCTTCTCAGCCCCAGGGTCTCTGCATAGGAATGGGGCAGCCTAAACTACTAATCTTTGAGATTGTTTCGGGTGCCTGGAGATCTTCCTGAGCGTCAAATGTTAAGTGGCCCTCTGCACCAAGATCTTTGCACAGGAGAGGTAGGCCACTCAGGCTGCTGGTCCAAGTGAACTAGTGCTCCGAATTCTTGGAGATCTGCCTGGGCATGAAGCAGAGAAGGCCTTCCTGCACCAAGATCTCTGCACGTGAAGGGTGGGTTAGCTCATCTTGCTGAACCAGGTGAACGTGTGTTCTGAATATCTGAAAACCTTCCTGGGTGTGGAGTGTAGAGAACTTCTCTGCACCAGGATCTCTGTACAGGAGAAATGTGGTGACTCAGGTTGCTGAACCAGGCAAGTAGGTTCTCTGAATGCCTGGAGATCTGCCTAGGTGTGGAGTGGAGAGAGCCCCACTACACAACGATCTATGCCCAGGAAGGGTGGGGCATCTCAGGCTGCTGAGCCAGGCAAACATTTGCTCTGAATGCCTGGGTGTGGACGGGCGAGGTCCTGACTGTCCCACAGTCTGTTTCCACGAGAAGTAGGGCATCTCAGACTGCTGATCCAGGCAAGAAGTTACTCCAAGTGCCTGGATTTCTGCTTGCAGGTGGACTAGAGAGGGCCCTGCTGCATCATTGTCTCAGGAGAGCAGGCTGGGGTGCCCTGCAGTGGCACACACAGACTGGTTGCAGGTTGCCTACCTGACGCTGGCTACAAGTGTCATTGCCCAGGAGAAACTACCACTGTAGCAGCTCTCCTGCCTCAGGCCTGTGACAGGGGAGAGCACAATTTCAGCACTTACATTTCCCGATGCGCTTTCCACAGGTCTGGCTGTGTAAGTCCCTACCCTGCTCCAGATTAGCACTCCAATCTCTGGCCCAAGACTGAAATGACTGAGCAGCCATGCTGCCGAGTCACCAAGAGATGTGTAATTGTGTATGTGCCTGAATTAAAAATGGTGTACTGCTCTTGATCCTGCGTCTGAGAAAATGTCTGCAGCTCTTCCAGGTGCCTTTTCCTCACAGTGTCTCCAAGCCTCTCTGCAAGTTAGCTCCAGGGCTTGAAAGAAACAACATGCTCTCCCTTGGCCTGAGTTGCTTGGATCCCCACTGGAAAAGTGAGTCACAGCCGGAGGGTCTCTGCCTGTCTCCTGGGCTTTACTCACTCGGCCAGACACTTACGGAGGCTGTTTACCCATGTTCTTCTCCCCATGACCTGGGGTTTCCTTCAAAAATCTAGTGGATTCCCATTTTCCTTTTTGACTTAAAGCTCACAAAGTTTATCTTTATGGACTATCACGCTATTTCCAATTAGCTGAGACATGCTAAAAGCCTCAAATCTATCATCTTGAAGGAAAACTACAATTTTAATAGTACTATTTATTATGAAAGAAAGAGACAAAGAAAGGTAGCAGTACAGTGTAGTAAAATAAAAATAATCTTTGAAATTTCAGATGTGGATTTGAATGTGAAATTAGACGTTTCTGAACACATCAACTTGAGAGGTTGTTGTATATTTATTCCACTTGTTCTACTACAAATGGGGGTATATTATATTATTAAGAGTGCCATAACATAATAGCACAGCCTGGGTAGCTTAAACAACTGAAATTTATTTTCTCATAAATCTGGAGGCTAAAAATCCAAGATTAAGGTGTCAGCAGGTTTAGTTTTCTCTGAGGCCTCCCTCTTTGACTTTTATATTGCCAACCTTTCCTTTTTTCCCCATATGGTTTATTTGTCTCTGTTGTCTGTGTCCTAATACCCTCTGCATAAGAAAAGGACACAAGTCATATTGGATTAGGGCCCGTGCTAATGACCCCATTTTAACTTAGTTACCTCTTCAAAGACCCTATCTCCAAATACAGCCACATCATTATATATTGGGCATTAGGGCTTCAACATTTGAATTTGGGAAACAATGCAACCCATACCTGAGAAAATGACATTTATCTCATATGATTTTTGTGATGAACACAGAATAGTGTGTTTATTCATTCCTAGTGTTGGAACGTTGTGTTATTTATAGCTTTGGGGATATGATCTATAAAGCAGTTAACAATATTTTTCGTACATATTTGGGTGGATTTGTGTTTTCATTTGTCTTGGATAACTTCCAATAAGCAAAAATGCCAGGTAGCATATTAAATTCATATTTAAATTAAGATACTGCTAAAGTGTTTCCAAAGTGTCTGTACCAGTTTGTATTCCCATCAGCAGCATTTGGAAGTTTAATTTGGTCTACTTCTTTGCCAGTACTTGATACCATTTTTTTTTAATGCTAGCCATTGTAGTGAATATGTAGTGACATATAATTTTGATTTTTGAATTTGCAATTATATGATAACTAGTGATGTTGGCTTTTTTTCATGTGATTATTGGCCATTTGCATAGCTTCTTTGGAAAAATGGTCAAATCTTTTGGGTTTTTTGGTGTGTGTTAATTGGGTTGTTTGTCTTTTATTATTAAATAATATTAGTTCCTTAGATGTCTGTATACAAGTCAATTAAAAGATACATGTTTGTGAAAAAGTTTCTCCCACTCTGCAGCTGGTCAATTTGTTTGGTTTTTGTAAATATGCCTTTTGAAGGACGAAAGATTATAAACCTAAGGTCTATTTTACCTTTTTTTTCTCTCTATACATAGGATTTATGTTGCCTAGTTTTAAAGTAAAAATAACTTTGCTTCACCAAATATCACAAATATTTATTCCTATTTTCTCCTGGAATTTTGATAGTTTTAGTTTTTACATTTAGGTAAAAGAAACTTTGAGTTAGATTTTTGTATATGGTTTGAAGAGACTCATTGTTGATTATTTTCTATTCAGTTATTCCATACAATTTATAGAAAACCTCTTTTCTGATTGAATTACTTAGAAAGCTTTATACATTTTTCCATCTATTTCTCCTACGTATATTATAAACATCATAAGATAGTGTTACTTTTTTTTAACAGCATATGCTTATCAGGAACTAAGATATTATTAATAGAGAAGAAAGTCAAACATATTATTTTCCATTTACTCAGATATTTTTTATTGTAAAACTCTTCTTTCTTTTCTGAGGAGTGGTTTCCATTTCACACATTTTTTTCTTCTTTTCTTAGATGCCTTCCTGCATTGTTTCCTACAGTTCAGGTCTGATGAAAATTGATTCTCTTACTTTTATCTGAAAATATCTATAAGAAATCCTCTTTCTTGAATGATATTTTAGGTGAATATAGGATTCTTTAATTACAGATTTTTTTTTTAAAAAAAAAAGAAAGCTGGAGATGTTCCACTCTCTTCCCTTCTTCATGAATTTTGATGAAAAGTTAGCAATTAAGCAGATTGTTGTTCCTGTATATCTAACATGTCATTTTTCATTTGTCACTTTCAATATTTGTTCTTTATCTCTGGCATTCAGCAGTCTGAATATGATGTTCCTGAGCTTGCGCTTCCTTCTGTTTATTATGGTTGGTATTTGCTCAATATCTTGGATTTAGAAATTTCCATATCTTGCCAAATTTGGAAAACATGTAGAGAATAGTATCTTCACCTTGTTTTTGCTCCATTTTTTAAAACTGTTTTCTTTGTGATACCCTAATTATGCAATGTCCAAGGACCATTTGCTATAATCTAACAGGTCTTTATTTTTTATATTTTTCCTGTTTGCTATTTACTTGGATCCTTAATATTAATCTATCTTCAATATACTTTCTCTTTATTCTGCCATTTTATTTGGCTATAAAATTTCATCTTTTTCCCCAGAAACTGCATTGCCCAGTTCTAGATTTTCCATTTTCATTGTTTCTAACTCTCAGCTCAAATCTATTTATCTGTTGAGATTTTTATTAATCATGCTTTATTTTCATGTATTACACATAGTTATAACAGATTCTTTTAAATCCTTGCAATTTAGTTGAAATATGTTGTTCATCACATGTTCTTGGCTGAGTTTGATGTTATCCTCTCTGGCCCTTTCCCTTCCAGGGTTCCTCCACTCTTTTCAGTGTTCATAGTATACAATCCTTTCTTTCCCCATGCAAGGATGATTATTTCCACAAGTGTCTCCAACACATTTTTGCATGCATCGTGAACTGCTAGCTACAGGCTAAAATCTTAAATGGGAGGAGTCCTTAGATATATAGTTCTCTATATGCTCTCCTTCACATACTCAGTCCCCAAAGGGCACTGTCTTCTTCTGTTCCTTTTCCAGTACAACGAGTCCTCGATGACATCATTTTCATTCAATGTTGTTTTATTATAATGTTGATGAGAAAAAAAATGTCATTTCTAGCTAGGGCCGCTGTCTGCCTGGAGTTCGCATGTTCTCCCTGTGTGTATGTGGGTTTCCTTCAGGTACTCTGGTTTCCTCCCAACTGCCAAAGATGTGCATATCAGATGAACTGGTGTGTCTTCATTGTTCTAGTCTGTGTGAATGTATTTTTGTGTATGAGTACTGCTGTGATTAAATACAGCCTTGGCCAGGGTGGTTTCCACTCAGAGTCCTGAGATGCTATAGGCACTTGCCACTCACAACCCTGAACTGGACTAAGCATGTTGGAAAGTGAATGACTGAATAAAAAAGAATAATTGTAAAATAAATATTTGCCGTAAACAATAATCATACAAATGCATGATAATAAACAATGTGGTCTAAAAACTTTCATTGAACCACCATGTTTTGTTATGGTTTTTGAACTGCTTGGAAGTAGGACATGCTGCTTACAGTTTTCACCTTGCAAATATTTATTGCTTGATTTAACCCACCACCACTATGACCACCATCACTTACTAATTCACCAAAAATTGGGTCAATTCTTATTTTATTTGTTTTCATTAATCTTTCTCAAATGCATATATAGCTCACATTTATTTCAATGTTTAATATTAGAAGTGACTTTTATCTTTATGTAGAAGTTTGGTGATTGTTGTGACCAGAAATATGCCATAGGAACTTAATAGTTTTTTATATCTATTAGTATAGGGTAAAATTTGATTCCTTATACATTGTTCCTTTTTAATTCACAGTTTCCAAGAACATGTCAATGCTATAAAGGACTTACTATACTTTCAGGTAACTGTTTTTATATTATGTTTCAGTTGTTTTTCTGCAGGGAGTATTCCAATACAGTCATATCTATTGTAGTCAAATGTAGAAGTTACATAAATTATTTTTTGATATCTGAATTTTGTGTGCTAATAAATGCAGAACACTATTACAGCTACATAAATAACCAATTATTAACAGTCAACTACTGACTATACTAAGGTATGACTGAACAAGGGAGGGGATCATTCTCCAGATGTGCTAAGTTGTAGAAACAATTAATTTGGGCTAAATTAGATTAATAGTAAAAATATTGAGGCAAAACGAAGAATTTTCAGACTACAAGGTTTTTGGATACTGGAAATAAAAGCCATGATAGGATCTAAGACTTCTAGATTATTTTAAGCATAGAATACAGAATAGTCTGCAGTCAGGTAGTTGGTGTAGTTTTGGGATGGTGATGGTAGTGACAGTGATGATGGTAAAAGTTGCAACAGTGCTGGTAGTGATGATTATGTCATTAGTGGTGGTGGGAATAGTAGTATTGGGGTGCTGACTAAGGTAGAAGTGGTAATGGAAATGTTGTAATGATAATGATGTCAAAATCTGGAAAAATCTATTTGAAGAATAGATTAGATAACAAGTTTCACAAAGGGATGAACATTCTTCCTTTTTCTAACATTGTGAAAATCATTCTCTTAAAAAAACGAAATGGTATTTTAATCTCAGTTTAAATAATCTTCAAAATGTAGTTGAGCCTCATTTAACCAATTTGATGTTTCCCATGAAGAATTGTTTATTTTTTAAGCTCCCACAAAGTTGTGGAAATGTGCACTCCCAAAACCAAAAGCATGTTACTCAATAAAACTATATCTGCAATTCTTTACTGGCTATGATCCTATAGCATTTTGTTCATATTTTATAATACTTACAATGGTGAAGCACATTTATTCATTTATGTAAATTATTTGAGAATGAGGATGATGCTTATTTGTTCACTTATTTATATTTTCAAAAAGTTTATTTGAGTACACAGTAAGTGTGTATATTTATGGTGTACATGAGATCTTTTGATACAAGCATGCAAAGCATAATAATCATGTCATGAAAATGGGGTATACATTCTTTCAAGCATTTAACCTTTGTGTTACAATCCAATTATACTCTTCTAGTTATTTTTAAAATGTACAATTAAATGTACAATTAAATTATTATTGACTATAGTCACTCTGTTATGTTACAAACCCTAGCTTTTATTCATTCTTTCTAGTCTTTTGTACCCATTAACTATCCCTAATTCTCCCCCTACTCCATATCCTACTACCCTTCCCATCCTTTGGTAATGATCCTTCTTACTCTCTATCTCCACAAATAAGAACATGTGATATTTGTCGTTTTGTGCTTGGCTTATTTCACTTAGCATAATTACCTCCAGTTTCATGCATGTTGTTGGAACTGACAGGGTCTCATTCATTTTTTATGGCTGAATTATACTCCATTATGTATAAGTACCACATTATCTTCATTCATTCATCTGTTGATGGATGCTTAACTTGCTTCCAATCTTTGCTCCTCTGAATAGTGCTGCAAAAATCATGGGAGTGCAGATACCTCCTCAATATACAGATTTCCTTTCTTTTGGGTATATACTCAGCAGCAGGATTGCTGGAACATGTGGTAGTTTTGAGGAATCTCCAAACTGTTCTCCATAATGGTTATAGTAATTTACATTCCTACCAACAGCGTTTGAGGCTTTCCTTTTTTCCATATTTTCTCCAGCATTTGTTATTGCCTGTCTTTTGAATAAAAGTCATTTCAACCGGGATAAGATGATATCCCCCTGTAGTTTTGATTTGCATTTCTCTGATAATTCATGATATTGAGTACCTTTTCATATGCCTGTTTGTCATTTGCATGCCTTCTTTTGAGAAATGTCTAATCAAAGCATTTGCCCATTTTTAAATCAGACTATTAGATTTGTTTTCTATAGAGTTGTTTGAACTCCTTATACACTCTGAAATTAATCCCTAGTCAGATTGGTAATTGGCAAATGATTTCTCCCATTCTGTTGCTTGTCTCTTCACTTTCTTGATTGTTTCCTTTGCTGTGCAGAAACTTTTAAACTTGATATAATCCCATTTGTCCATTTTTGCCTTGGTTGCTTGTGCTTGTGAGTACTATTCAAGAAATTTTTGCCCAGACCAATTCCCTAGAGAGTTTCCTCAATGTTTTCTTGTAGTAGTTTCATAGTTCAAGGTCTTAGATTTAAGTCTTTAATCCATTTTGATTATGTTTTTGTATATGGTAAGAGATAGCATTCTAGTTTCATTCTTCTGCTCATCCAGTTGTCCCAGCACCATTTATTGAAGAGACTTTCCTTTCCCCAGTGTATGTTCTTGGCACTTGTATCGAAAACAAGTTCACTGTGAATGTGTGGATTTGTTTCTTGGCTATTATGTTCCATTGGTCTGTGTGTCTGTTTGTATGTCAGTACCATGCTATTTTGAATTCTGTAGGTCTGTAGTACAATTTAAAGTCAGGTTATGTGATTCCTCCAGTTCTGTTTGTTGTTGTTACTGCTCAAGATTGTTTTAGCTATTCTGAGACTCTTGTGGTATTTTGATAGGGATTGCATTGAATCTGTAGATTGCTTTGGGTAGTTTGGAAATTTTAGCAATATTACTTCATTCTAACACGTGAATATGAAATATTTTTCCATTATTTTGTGTTCTCTTCCATTTCTTTCATCAGTGTTTTTCAGTTTTCATTATAGAGATCTTTCACTTCTTTGGTTAAATTAATTTCTAAGTATTTAATTTTATGTTTAACTATTATAAATGGTATTAATTTTTATATGATTTTCATATTGTTTGCTGTTGGCATGTAGTAATGCTTCTGATTTCTGTATGTTGTTTTGTCTCTTGCAACTTTAGTGAATTCATTTAGCAATTATAATAGTTTTTTTTTTAGTGGAGCATTTATGTTTTTCCAAATATAAGATCATATCATCTGCAAACAAAGATAATTTTACTTCTTTCTTTTCTATTTGGGTGGCCTTGTTTTCTTTCTCTTTTTTGATTGCTCTAGCTAGGACTTCCAGCACTGTTTTGAATAACAGTGGTGAACGTGGGCATCCTTGTCATTTTTCAGGTTTTAGAAAAAAATATTCAGGTTTTCCCCATTCAGTATGATACTAGCTGTGGGTATATAATATATGACTTCTTATCTTGAGGTATGTTCCTTCTATGCCAATTTCGAGGGATTTTATAGTGAAGGGATGTTAAATTTTATCAAATGAATTTTCAGCATCAGTTGAAATGATCATATGGACTTTCTTCTTCATTCTGTTGATATGATGTATCACATTGATTTGCCTATGTTGAACTATCCTTGCATCACTGAGATGAATGCCACTTGGTGTTGATGAATGATCTTTTTAATGTGTTGTTGAATTTGCTTTGCTACTAGCATTGTGTTGAGGATTTGTACATCAAAGTTCACCAGGAACATTAACATGTAGTATTTTCTATTGATGTGTCTTTGTCTGGTTTTGTTATCAGAGTAATACTGGCCTCATAGAATTTGGTTGGAAATATTTCCTTCTTTATTATTTGAAATAGTTTGAGTAGGATTGGTATTAGTTCTTTTTAAAATATTTGTTAGAATTCAATGGCGAAGCCATTAGGTCCCAGGCTTTTCTTTACTCGGAGAACTTTTATTACAGCCTTGATCTCATTATTAGTTATTGGTCTCTCAAGATTTTGGATTTCTACATGGTTCGATATTGGTAGGTTGCAGCTGTCTAGGAATTTATCCATTTCCTCTAGATTTTCCAATTTATTGACATATCTTTGCTCACAGTACCCACTAATGATCCTTGGAATTTCTGTGGTGTCAGTTGTAATGTCTTCTTTATCATCTCTGATACCTTATTATTTTGGTCTTCTCCCTTGTTTTCTTTATTAGTCAACTAAAGGTTTGCCAATTTTGTTTACCTTTTTAAAAAACAGGCTTTTTTTTTAATTGAATCTTGGTATTGATTTCATTTATAATTCATTAATTTTGCCTCTTATTATTTCTTTTCTTCTACTAATTTTGGGTTTATTTTGCTCTTGCTTTTCTAATTTTTTAAGATGCATCGAGGTTATTTATTTGAAGTTCTTTTTTGACATAGGCACTTAGAGCTATAAATTTCTCTCCCAGTATTGCTTTCCCTGAATCTCATAGGGTTCAGTATGTTATGTTTCCCTTATCATTTGTTTCAAGAAATTTCCCATTTTCTTATGTCTTTATTAACCCACTGGTTATTCAGGAGCATGTTTTCAAATTTTCATATGTTTGTATACTTTTCAAAATTCCTTGTCTTATTAATTTCTAGTTTTATTCCATTGTTGTTAGGAAAGATGCTTAATATTATTTCAATTTTTTAAATGTTTAAGACTTGTTTTGTGATTTAATGTATGGTCTACCCTTGCTAATGATCCGTCTGCTGAGGAGAAGAAGGTGTACTCTTCAGCCATTGGATGAAATGTTCTATAAATGTCTATTAGGTCCATTTATTCTATCATGCATATTAAGTCAGATGTTTCTTTGTTGATTTTTGTTGTCTAGGAGATCTGTTCAGTGCTAATGGTGGGGGGTTGATGTCTCCAGTTATTAATGTATTGAAGTTTCTCTCTGTCTTTTGCTCTAATAATGTTTATACATCTGGGTGCTACCGTGTTGGGTGCATATGTATTTAAAATTGTTATATCCTCTTGCTCAACTGACTACTTTATCATTATATAATGACTTCCTTTGTTTCTTAAGTTTTTTTTATTTCTCAGAATCTATTTTGTTTGATATAAGTATAGCAACTCCTGGTTTTTTTTTGTTTTGTTTTGTTTTGTTTTTTACTTCCAGTGTTATGGGATATCTTTTTCCATCCCTCTATTTTCAGTGTGTGTTTGTGGTTGTATGTGAAGTGTATTTCTTGTAGAAAAACGATCATTGACTTTTGTATTTTTTATCCATTTAGCCACTCTTTGTATTTTTATTGTAGAGTTTAGTCCATTTACATTAAATACTATTATTGATACGTATGGACTTACTTCTGTCATTTTGTTATTTTTTGTTTTTTTGTGGCCTTCTCTTCATTTAGTCCTTCCTTCCTGTCTTCCTTTTAGTGAATATTTCTCTGGTGGTAGGATTTAATTTCTTACTTTTTATTTTCTGTGTATCTATTGTATCTTTTTCACTTTGAGGTTACCATGAAGTTTATGAATGCTATCTTATAACCCATTTTTTAACGTGATGACAATTTATCACTGACTGCATAAACATACTAACAAACATGTGATAAGAGAACTAATAAAAATTCTACACTTCAACTTTATCTCCCCAGTCTTTAACTTTTCGTTTCTTCTCTATGTTTTATTGCACTGTCCATGTCTTGTAAAGTTGTCATAGAATTTTTTTTGGTTTATCTTTTAGTCTTTCTACTTCAGAATAGTTTACATACTACATGTACTATATAATAATATTCTGGTTTTTTCTGTGTGCTTGCAATTACCAGTGAGTTTCGTACCTTCAGATAATTTCTGCTTGCTCGCTAACATACTTTTTTTTTTTTTTTAACAGATTGAAGAACTCCCTTTAGCATTTCTTGTAAAACTGGTATAGTGTTGATGAAATCTTTCAGGTTTTGTCTGTCTAGGAATATCTTTATTTCTTATTCATACTTAAAGAATATTTTTACTGGATACTCTTTGTTCTCTTCTGTTTAAGCAGAAGTAAGGAGTCACTTTCATTGCAGTGGGATACACTGCCTGGGGTTGCAGGAGTGGTAATGGGAAAACTCCCTTAGCTGCCTTTGCTATTGTCTCCCTAGGTCACATGCCACTCTAATCCACTCACTCTGAGCCAAGCCCAGCACTAGCAGTTGCCTATGAATTGTAGTCCTTATGTCCTAGACTGCTTTTCAAGTTTACCTAGGACACTAGAGCACTTTGGCCCTCAGTGCCAAGACATTCAAGTTCCAACCATTGACATATTCAATTCTCATCTGGCTAGATATGGCCTAAATGTCCCCTCCATGTGTGGGCACTGGTTAAGCCCAGCACATCTTTGCTGTCTGCTGTGACAGAGCAGCACTGAGTTCAATGCAAAACCCCCCAGTCACTGTGCTCTCCCTCCCCCAAGTACAGATTCTCCTCTCCACCACACGGCTGCTGCCAGGGGATGGGGAAAGGGTGCTATTGGTGATTTAAGATTCTATTTCTTAGCCCCTTCAATAGCTCTTTCAGTGATATGAAGTTAAAACCAGGTACTGTGATTGCTTACCTGATTTTTGATGATTTTGACAGTGTTTTCTGTGTGCTGATAGTTGTTAAAATGTGGTGTTCTTGATGGAGGCATAAATGATGTAGGCTTCTGTTCTGCAATCTTTCTGTGTCCTCCAGGACTACTATGCTTTGTATTACCATACAGAGTAATTTGAATGATGATGAAATAGAAGGTTTGGAATTTTAACCACCTTTTGCAGTGTATAGATGCACAAACCACCATAGTACATGTAAACTTATGTAGCAAACCTGCAAATTCTGCACATGTATCCCAGAACTTAAAGTAAAATTTTAAAAATATTAAATTTCTTACTAAATAAATGAAAAAGCTCTAATAATACTGGATCACCTAGAAGTGTATTACAAAATCTTTAAAAGAGCTTCCTCTCTACCTTTACCAACTCAATATTCCTCAACAATCTGTATAGCCAAAATAAATAAAGGCTGATGCCTCCAAGTTTGGTTCACATGTCTTTCCTCTGATAATCTTGGGGCATTAGCACACAGAAAACTTTGAATTACTTAGACATGAGAGTCCTATGATGCTGAAGTGGGAAACCAGGAGCCACTTATAGGACCACCATGGATTATTCATTTCTCTTTACCAGCTCACCTTCTATAGACAGAGACACGTAGGAGTAATAATCATAGGATTTATGGACCTCCTTTTTCCTTCCTAATATAGGGATGTCTTTTCCTCTTTCTTTCTTTCTGTTTTTTTTTTCCCCTCACTGTCTTCTACTTTAGATCAAATTCTCACTCCGAGATCTCAAAAATAATAGTAACAGGTATCCTAGAGGGAAAGTTTTTTTTAGAAACTCTTATTTTATTTTCTACTTGTTATATTCCTTTCACTGAGCCAGTACAAAATATGGCTACCTGCTCTAAATGAAGCATATTTGGAAGTGTAGAAATATGCAGAGGAACAAACTACTAATAGAACCTTAATAAATCATTCTTCTGCCTACTGAGTGAATATTTGTGAAATCAAGGACAATAAAATTAGTTTAGAGATGGAGAAAAATTCTAATTTTTTTTAAATTGGGTGATATTTAGAAAGAAAAAATCCTGGCATTTTCAAGAGTTCTCATAGTTCTCTACATTGTCAATCATGTGTTATTTTTGTTAAACTTTCAGAAGTCCCTTATAGTTACTCATATTTAAAAATAAGACTGAATTTATTCAAATTTGGCAGAAGAGGGTGGGTTTAGGAGTCCAGTTGATCTCTCCACACCATACTGTGTTATACAGTAATCTGGTGGGAAGTTAAATCATTTCTGGACTGGTGAAAGAAAAGAAAAATAAAAGAAACTTAGGCTGGACTGAGAGGTGCTGGGGCTTTAAACGAGTTTCAAAATTAGGAAAGTGATGATCTTATCTCACATTCCATATCTTATCATACCCTCTTATTTGTATTTCTTAATGCAACCTGCAAGCCAAATTACTATTTTAATGGATACACTTAGTTCATTACTGTATGTTAAAGTAGAACAAAATTCCTCTAGCCTCTATCTTATTCTGAAGAGAAATAACACTATTTCAACTCAGCGAGTTTTAGGAAAATACCAAATTTTTTTCTGATTAGTTCTGTGCCTTTTTGTCCTGATAGTATTCAAAATAAATTGAATCCATGTGCTGATCTGTAGCACACATCAAACTCCTTAGTTAACAGGATTTAAATTACTTCAAATATGTCCCTAGGGTGGATCTCAATTGAATTAACAGCCAGGTCCCTACCAAATAATCTCTTGAAAGGCGACGAAATCTTTCTTTGTGAAATGGCTTCTCTGACAAATGTCTGCCTAAAGGACTGCTACTCAAATTTAATGTGTGTATAAAACACACAGAGATCTTGATTAAATGTGGATTTTAGGCCAAAAATTTAAAGCTTCTGTTTCAGTAGGCTTGGAGTGGGACCCAGCTCTCTGTGTTTTTAACTAGGCCTCAGGTGATTCGGAGACAAATGCTTTGTCTATTCGAGCATCTGCCTTATGTGATATTTAAGGGATGTTCCTCTATCCTTTTTCAATCACATTAAGAAGATGCTTGTTTCTTATTTTCTTTTCTCCATCACCTCTTCATTTTTTCCCACAGAAAACATGGAGAAACCTAAAACCTGGTTTTCATTTTTTTCAATCTCGTATATTTTAGATGGTTTTGTTTTTACAAGACACTTAAGCTTTTCTTTTCTACCTTCATTTTCCTCAAAATGTTCTATGCTACTACCAGAAATTTATTATTTCCCTAATTAAGCAACGTATAGAGTTCTGAATTCACTATGATAAATAATTGATAGTTAAGTGGAGTATATATATACACACGATTTTTACAAATAAATATTAATCACTACAAAAGAAGGAAAATATACAACCAGTAACTTAAGCTTCTTTATTAAAAATTCAATATTTCTGAGACCTCTGTTCTGTTCCATTGGTCTATGTATCTGTTTTGGTGCCAGTACCATGCTGTTTTGGTTACTGTAGCCTTATAGTATAGTTTGAACTCAGGTAGCATGATACCTCCAGCTTTGTTCTTTTTGCTTAGGATTATCTTGGCTATACAGGCTCTTTTTTGGCTCCATATGAAATTTAAAGTAGTTTTTTTCTAATTCTGTGAAGAAAGTCAATGGCAGCCTTATGGGGATAGCATTTAATCTATAAATTACTTTGGGCAGTATGGCCATTTTCATGATATTGATTCTTCCTATCCATGAGCATGGAATGTTTTTCCATTTGTTTGTGTCCTCCACTATTTCCCTGAGCAGTGGTTTGTACTTCTCCTTGAAGAGGTCCTTGACATCCCTTGTAAATTGTATTCCTAGATATTTTATTCTCTTTGTAGCAATTGTGAATGGGAATTCACTGATAATTTGGCTCTCTGTCTATTATTGGTGTATAGTAATGCTTGTAATTTTTGCACATTGATTTTGTATCCTGAGACTTTGCTGTAGTTGCTTATCAGCTTAAGGAAATTTTGGGCTGGGGCGATGGGGTTTTCTAAGTATACAATCATGTCATCTGCAAACAGAGACAATTTGACTTCTTTGTCTCCTGTTTGAATACCCTTTATTTCTTTCTCTTGCCTGACTGTCCTGGCCAAAACTTCCATCTGAATGGTTTGTAGAAAAAATTATATTGATCTTACCCACATTATTTGAAAGTTGAAAATACTATTTAGTTTATAAGATAGCACTCCACTTGTCAGAATAACCAGTTAAATTTCTCAAGTCATAACTACCATTTATCCTCAATCTCTTAACTTGAGCCAAACTGCACTTTTTTCTCCCACCTCAGAACGTACTCATAGTCACTGTTTATTAAAACACCAATGTTTCCCTCCAGTCACATGACTACCCTCTTACTCCTTTTGGAACTGTGCTGTAAATTTTTATATATATATTACACAGACCTTTAAAAACAATCAAATCATCTCTATTCCAGATCATTCTGTGCCATCTTTACTTTTTATAGTATATATTGTCCCTTGTGTTTATTTTTATTTTTTAATATCTGTTTTCTTTACCCCATCATGGGAGTTCCATGAGAGTTGAAAGTTTCCCTTTACTGCTATTTCCTCATTGCCTAAAATAGTGCTTGTCACACAGTGAAAGTTCAATACCTAATCAGTAAATGATGACAGAATGACTGGCAATTGTGTATGCACTAGAAAGGTTTTATATTACAATGTCACAGAGCTCACGAACGAAGCCTCTGACTTGATACATATATTAAGGTAACAGCAATAAAACTTTTATTATGAGCATATTGAATTAATGTCTGTCTTTACCTCAAGCTCTATTTGTGCAATATAATAATTCAATTAAATGCTTTTCTTTCTACATTGCCTTAATGCCAATTTTATCTTACTGTAACTAAGAAATACAGTGAATATAATATGTAAATAATGAATGCTTAGATTATTATTTTAGAATATATTTCTCAAATTGGTTTTGTGCTTTGTCTCTGGTAACACAGACAACACTAAAATTATTATATTCTAAAGAAGCTGAGCTTTTAACTTTAACGTAGTCTTAAAAAGATGTAAAAATATGGCTACTCAGTGTTCTGCCTTGTAGTTCTATCACATGAGTTCCCATGTAAATAATTCCTTTCACTTATTATAATACCTTTTTCACTGTGGAGAAACTCTCTATAAAGATCTAGTAAGTCTCATAAAGGAGAAAGAAATGGATATAAAACCCTCAGGAAATAGTAGTTGGTGAACTACAACTAAAATGCAGCAGTTGAGGGAAGAGATAAGAGAAACAAATATTTTCAAGTGAAAACTTTGAAAAGTAATTTCGGAAATACATTGACAATGTTTACTAAAAAAAAATGAAATTTTCTCTGCAGTACTTCTAATTTTATGAATAAACAATAGAGACATAACAGTCTCCACTTTGTTTTTGATAGTAGACTATAGTTTACATAAAACATACGCCTGAATATATTTTCTATAAGTTATTTGTCTGAACAACCATCTAAATGAGATTTATTTACTATTCCTGAACAAATACATTTTTTACAACTCTGACTTACATGCTTAATTTATACAGTGATATGACATTTTCTGTTAAGTTATTCAGGAATATTTTATTTGTATCACAAAGCCTGATATTTTAATGAACAGTATTTGTTTAAAATTGACTACAATAATATTTCCCCACCAGATATTTAATGTTTCTCTTCTTTGAACCCAGTAGCTTAGTTTGAGCTATAGTTTTGGTGGCATTATAAGAAAGAATAAAACTTTATTTTGTATCTGACTTTTTTGTTTGTTTTAGTTCTTTCTCTATATATTGAGGTATAAATTACATTGAGCAAAACATGCATATTTTAAGTATAAACCTAGTAAATTTATACATATATATATGAAATACTATCTTATTCTACTATAATAAGACAATATCTTACAAGTTTATAAGTAGGCTATTTCCAAAACTCCAGCAAACCCCTCATGACGTTGCACCATTGATATTTCCACTCAATGATAATTGATCTCCTCATCTCTGTTATCAAATATTAGTTTTGCTTATTTTTGAAACTCATATAAGTGGAAACATATAGTATATATACTTTTTGAGTTTGACTTTTTTAACTTAACATTGTGAAATGTATCCATATTGTTTTATGTAGCAATTTATGAATGTCTTTATTGCAAGGTAGTATATAACGTACTTATCAATTCTCAACACATTTGGATTGTTTTCAATTTGAGGCTAGTATTAATAACATTGCTATAAACATTCTTGTGTTTGTATTTTTGTGGACATAAGCACATACATTTGTTTAATATAGAATCAGAAATAAAATAGATAATATATAGGTTAAAAAGTTGGCTTTAAATACATGCAGCTTTTTGATGTGGTTGTACCAATTATATTTTCACCAGCAATGTGTGAGACTTCTAATTAGTCCATATCTTCACCCATCATTTGTATGTTTAGTCCTTTTAATTGTAACCATTCTGATGAGGGATTAGAATAACTTGTAATTTGAATTTAGATTTTTAGGATGAATAATAATTTTGGGAATATTTGCATATATATGTCTATTGGTCATTTGGGTATCCACTTTGGTGAGTGTTTAGGTCTTTTATATATTTTGAACAATCTTATTTTAAAAACTATTTTTTTATTTTCTAGAGTGCTTTATATATGTTCTGAATAGGAGGACTTTGTTGAATGTACATATTGGAAACATGTTCTCACCATCTGTGACTTGCTTACATACTTTCTTAATGTTGTAAGTGGATGAGCAGTTCTTAATTTTAATAAAGTATTATTTATCTGTTTTTTTATACTGGTGGATTTTTTCTGCAATGTTTAAAAAATTGTTACCATGCTCAAGACCAGAGGACTGATTTTTCCTTCTCCTATTAATATCCTTGTGTGTAGGCAAAATTTGATACTTACTCCGCCAAAATATGGCAAGTGTCTCTGTGTTAGTTCATGGTGCCTTGCTGTAAATGAATACCCAAGGCTGGGTAATTTGTAAATGAAATAGTTTGATTTGGCTGGTAGTTCTGCAGGTTGTACAAGCATGGCACCAGCATTCAGGAAGCTTTTACTTATGATGGAAGGAGAAGAGGAGCAGGCCTGTCACATATCAAGAGAGGGAGACAGCCAGAGTGGAGGAACTGCCAGGCTCCTTTTAAATAGTCCGCTCTCAAGAGAACTCATTACTACTCATTACTATGGGATAGCAGCAAGCCATTCATGAGGTATCCATCCCCCAGGACACAATACCTCCTAATAGATCCCACTTCAACATTGGGAGTCACATTTCAACATGAGATTTGGGTAGCGGGGACAACATTCAAACCATATCAGTACCCAAAGAAGGAAAGACCACTTATTATAAACTCACCTTGAAAAGATCCTCCTAACCATGTGTAATCCCAATTCATGTAGTTTACGTTGTTCCTACAGCTGTCAAATGATTTAAAATTAAAGTGGAAATTAAAAAGAATAATTTATCCTTTTCTATTAATTGCATCAGGAACATTGAGATTCTGTAACTTGATATAATGTACTCTGTAGTGGAGGTCTTCATAATAATATTTTCCAATGCTAATAAAATAATTACTTGAATATACTTCTCAAATTTCAATTAGTTAGACATATATTTTGAAATTTAAATTTTAAATATTTTTATAATTAACCTTGACATCATCTCCAGGAACTGGAAAACAATGAAATTTTCTACATTCCATAAATGGTACAGACAAAATAATTCATTTCTTCAAGACTTGCTGCAAACTGGTGGCAGTCTGGGAATAAAACCAAGTTCGTTGGTATTCCATCTGCTGCATTATATGGGATTTTACTAGGCAATTTTACAAAATAAAATTCAGAAGTTTGGGGAAATAGTCTTAGGCATTCATATACTGTTTTCTAATTACATAATCTACCCCTCCATATGTATGTGTGTGTGTGTCTGTGTGTACATGAATGTGTATGTATGTACTGTAGATAAATCTTTCTTTTCATCTTTATGAAAGGAAAAATGAGAATTTGGAATATGTGTATTAAAAATAGTACTTAAGCACTGAAGAAACTCTAGAAAGGAGTAAAACATTTATTTTCATGGATTACAAATAATATGAGCTTTTCACAGTCCTTGGTGGTTTGTATAAATGGTACAAAAGTGCATAATATGTGTGTTTTAGGGTAGGATCCATGTATCATTTTCTTATAAAAACTTTCAAGCAAGTTGTCATGTTGACAAAATAGCTTGAAAATTCTCATGCTTAAATATAGTTTTTCCTTTTCTGTATTTAAATGTTCCATAATCATATATTCATCAACTCTATTTACAGATATTTCTATTAGGGTTTTTATTTGCCTTGACATTAATGCTTGGTAACTCTAGTTAATAGCACATCAGATAACAAGCCTGGACCCAAGGGAGAATAGGGATTTCAAATTTAAGTAGTTGATTTTATGAATTCTTATATGTTATTGAAGGTATCAAATGTCACATTTTGTCAAGATTGAAGTTGAATATGCCATTTATTATAATTTTATTAAATTATTGAATTTATTTTTTTCTTTCATCTATTTACTCAGCCAACAACTGAGCCTAGGACATCTCTGAACATACAGTGGTGAGTGGCACAGCCTAGACCACGGTGACTAGATTGTCTGCGGCAGAAAAATTGTCTTTTGAATTTTGATCCCAAGATTGGTGATGGTGAGGGATAGTCTTCTTCTGTCTAGTTGTGACACTTTGGGCAACTTAAATTCTATACATTGCTTGCTTCTTATCTGTAAAATGAAAAACAAGCAAATATCAAATTATTGTTGTGTAATTGAATGAGTCAAGGTGTATAACTTATGCAGTATAGTTTTTAATACTTTGAAGTGGCTTGAAACATGTTTTGTTCCCTTTCTGAGGCTGTCTGTGGCCAATGAAACTCTGATAATAATAATAAATCTGAGACTCTTTTATTTGAATACAGTTTGAGGCATTTCATAAGTAACCATTACATTGTTTTGCCAATTGTTCCCCCATATAAAGTAGTTGAGAATTTGATTAGCTTAGTAGGACTCAGTTTTATGGCTACAACCTCCACCTCCCAGGTTCAAGTGATCCTCCTGCCTCAGCCCCTAGAGTAACTGGGATTACAGGCGCCCAGCACCACACCCGGCTAATTTTTGTATTTTTAGTAGAGACAGGGTTTCACCATGTTGGCCAGGATGGTCTTGAACTCTTGACCCCAGATGATCCACCCACCTCGACCTCCCAAAGTGATGGGATTACGGGTGTGAGCCACCATGCCTGGCCTCTTTCCTTCTTTTAATTATTCCTCTCAGTCTTTCTGTCTCTCATTCTATTAGTTATTTCACTTTTCCTTCAAGTTATATAGAAGTTGAAATATATGAGTTAGTGAGCAAAATACAATAAACCTGTAACATTTTTTTTATATATAGCTCATTGATTGATATAAACTATTTGATCACGGAAATATGACCATGTAAATCAAACAACTTAGATACTATTTACTTTGCCATTACTTCTAATGGCAAAAACCACAGTTACTTTTGTATCAACCTAATGCATAATACATAATTACATTTGTATCTACCTAATACATAAAAATTGAGCTATTATAGAGGGCTTATGCTTCAGTGCAGTTTTTACATTGATTTATAAAAAGTAAATTTCAATGACTTTTTTGTTGGTAATCTGTATTGTTCTGAACTGTTCTTTTGGTACCATATTTTTGTTTGGAAGTAGTGGATGTATATTTGATCTATTATTTCTTAACATTGGGTAATTTGATTATTTTAAGAGTAGATATTTATTATTCCCCTGATTGTTAAAAAGTAATAATGGCATGTAACAAGAGTATAATGAAAATACTTGTTCCAAACGTGTAATATTTATCAAACTGACTTGATTATCTATACACATATATGCACACGATATTATAAAGTGTTAATCATTTTATGAAGAGATGTTTTTTCATTAGAATGCATTTTCCCTCATAATTTTAGATTCTTTTTTTCTATATTAATATGACATTTTGATTCTTCTTCAAATTAGCAGTGAAGAACTTTTCTTATTGGCGGTCTTATTTTGCTGCTTTTTCTCCCATCATCTCTATAATGACTGTGCTGAGCATCACAATTGTTTGAGACAGTTTTACTTGCATTTCCTGGAGGCACTTCCCCTTTAACTTCTATATAAGATCAATATTTAATCACCTTTTTAAAATCTAAATTTATACCATGTCTCTCCAAAACGAACTATTTGTCTATCATGTGCTGTTTCTTCATATTTTAAGTCCTAAATGGATTAGAGGTAATAATTGAGTGTAAGTTTCAAAGAAAATATGACTGCTTGAAAGAATAAATTGAATGTGTGGAAAATTAAATTTTTCACTTAATACAATTAATAAAGGTCACATTCTTCATATATGTGTAAGTGTTCAACTTATACTTGATTAGGAGTTAGGCAATACAATGTATATGGCAATTAATTAAAAAAAATTCATGAATATAAATCTGCTACTTTTTGTTAAATTACTGTGTGAACGGGTTTTTTTCAAGGTTTATTTTATGTAATGTTCAAACAACACTGAGCAATAGCTATAGTATTTCTATATTATATGTAAGAAACCTGAGATCTTAAAATTAAGCAATTTGTCATAAATTGCCCTGCTGGTAAATCATAGGCTCAATATTTAACTCATTTACATTCACACTATCTTCAAGAATTATTTCATTTTTATTTTCTCACTGGGATTATTACAGTGTCCTCCTAATCACTCTCCCCTCAAATCTCGTGCTTCCACTACCCTTAATATTATCTACTTAATAGCCAGAATCTACTTTCTATAAAAATATGTGACATGTCCCTTTATTTAATAAAATTCTACATATCCTTGAGGTTTGTTTCAATACCATCTTTTTCAGATATTGTTTCCTTACCCTTTTATTTCCTCCAGGCTTAACTACTTCTATTTTAGTTGTCATACTTCCTGTATATTTGTAAGGTATGACTTAACACCTAATGAATTATAGTTGTACATTTACTTGTCTTTCTTCAACACCTGACTATGAAATTTTGGCAATAATAGTCTATATTTTATTTCCATGTTCCTTTCTTCTAACAGAATGTTCGGCTTGCAGTCAGTTCTTTAAAATACTATATGAATGAAGATTAAGTGCGTATCTATACATAAGAAAGTCATGAGAGCCTTGGTAAATTGCAATAAACCTAATATCTTGGCCTCAATTTTTGGAATTTAAAGTCATTTATGAAGAACATACAAAAATAATAATGATATTTTAAGTATGAATATATGACTTTTACAAAATGTCCAGTTAATAAAATATTGTGTATATCAAGTGATAATTAAATAAATCACTTCACTGACTCTGCATCTCCTATAAAAATAATCTTATGATAAATTTTTTCATAGAGCAACATTTTATTTATGATATATTTTAATTCCCTGGGCTAACTGTTTCACTACAAATTTTTTGAATGATAGTATTTATTTATACTAATAGGAAATATTTTAGAAAATTTATGGAGTATGTATGCATATGTTCCATATCTTTTCTATAATTTTATTGATAATATAAACAAATAGTATTTTTATATTTACATATAATCACAATAATATTTTTAAATGCAGGAGGTAATATTTGGATAGTAATATCAAAATTATTTTTGGAGGTTAAAAACTTAGGTAGGTTCAATTTTAACTTGTACTTATTGGCTTTCCCATCTCTTTCTCTTTCGCTTAATCATATTGGGTCATTTTCTATATTTCTTCACATTTTTTCACAAGTTAACATCTCTAAAATGATATGTATTTTATGGTTGCTTTAGATCTGGTGGCAAGTATATGTTATTTGATATTCCCTATTATGTGTTTCTTTAAATATACACACGTGAATGCTTTCTGATAAAAAGTGTTTGTCCAAATGATAAAGGAATTTTTCAATAAGTATAAAATAAGGCCGGACGCGGTGGCTCACGCCTGTAATCCCAGTACATTGGCAGGCCGAGGTGGATGGATCACCTGGGGTCAGAAGCTCGAGGCCAACCTTGCCAACATGATGAAACCCCGTCTCTACTAAAAATACAAAAATTAGGCAGACATGGTGGCACATGCCTGTGATCCCAGCTACTCCGGAGGCTGAGGCAGAAGAATTGCTTAAACCCGGAAGACGGAGATTGCCGTGAGCCGAGATCGCACCACTGCACTTCAGCCTGGGTGACAGAGCAAGACCCTGTCTCAAAAATAAATAAATAAATAAAATTAATTAATTAATTAAAAAATAATAAAGTAATTCATATAGCTAAATTGAGATTTTTTTAAGTTTTTTTAGGCATTTTGGAATAATGCATTTTATACTGATGATAGGTTTAATGAAATGTTGTGTATATGTCTCCAGCACTTGAACTTTTAGACATTCCTAAGAACAAGCCAGGAACCTGAATTTGTTTTTTCACTGTACTTATATATGCTGTGCACTTTAAATATAGGCATTTAAATATTTGTTAAAGAAATACTTGATTTAAAAACGAGAATTGAAATAAGGAAACTTAAGGGAGGCAACAGAAAATTCTCATGTAAAAACATAACATATTTGTTAAATCTTTTCGACATTTCAAAACACACTTTGCCAAACAATTTACAAAATATTTTTATATTTAAAGTAAACTCAGATAGTGATTATAAATAATAAAATAAATTAAAACAAAAAAATTTTCTAACTATATTTAGACCAGCACTATCTAATTATGTGTTTGATAAAAATAAAAATAAAACATATTTTGGATCACTGATATTTTTATCATAATTGAATGTCTTATAAATAATTCTGCCATTAGAAAAATTGTATAGTGTCCTTAATTCTCCACAATGAGTTATATTATGTTACCACTGAAATGAACAAACACAATATACGTAAGTGGCGAAATAGTGTTGCTCACTACAATTTAAATATCATTTAATTTAACATTTATTAAAACCAACATATTTGACAATATGAATTTTTAATTTATACTAAAACAAGTTTTCCTTTAAATGTTCTTAAATGAAAATCATTTCTGCCAACAAAAAATGAAGAAAGAGAAATTTGACAATTCTAAATTTCTACTTTATGCAACTAAGAATGGGAGGGATATGTTTTTTCATACAATAAATGATAAATCTTATTTAGTTTATAAAGAATTAAGGGCACTAAAAACTGTGAGTATAAAATAAAAATCCTACAGCCTTAGTTGGTTGCCTTTCTTCTCACAAAATGTTTAAAGTGATCCTTGACATTTTCAAAACAGAGTTTGAGAAGCCATTTATATGAACTTTCTATTGTTAAATTAACTACGTAGACTCTAATCTTAGGTAATTTTAATTATGTGTAGCACATATTTAATCATAAAGTTGGAAGTCTAAGATTGAGATACTAGGACACCACTCTCTCTAAAATTTTATATTTAAACAAAGTGAAAAGACCATGTTCAAGATATTTTACTAAAAGAAACTACATATGCTCAATACATTAATCTATTTTCTATTTTTAGAATTACATGAAAATACTAGTATTTGAATGTTTTCTGTGATACGATCATTTGTAATTAACATAATTAGTTTACATAAATATACATGTATACATATTTATCTCACAGATTGGTAATGAATATCCATATGTATAGTGTATTTCTCAGCATTCTTTTATTTGGATATTTATTCTTAATGGAAGTTTTATAAATAATAACATTTAATTTTCTTCCATTTGTTCTGTATATTCAGAACATACAGAAAACAAGTTGATTACTTTCTAAAATAATTAGCACCAATCTTTGACAGTGCAATTGTTTATCTGTATACAAAGTAATGATTTAATAGGGAGTGTCAAATAAATCTTGTTGCTAGTCAGATTTATGGTGGAAAAGTCAACAAGGAATTAAGTCAAGAAAAGGAATAATGTTGTAGGTGGAAAAGAAGTTCATAAATTATTTCTTGTCAATGGTAAAACTATTGGTATGCTCTGCATGCAATTTTGACTGAACAAAAACCTGTCATTCACTGTATCCCTAATCTGATATTTCAGTTAACTTAATCTTGGGAAGCATTATGTTTCAAAGATTATGAAATTAGGGAAAAATGAACAACTACAGATACTTTCTTTGAAAATGACCTCACTCTTAAGATTATGACAACATGTATATGTACCTATTTGGTGCATTTACTTTCCTGTTTAAGGTCTCATTATTTTTAATTATTTTACCAGTTCTATATTTCTAAAGACACAGCCAAATAACTGATCATGTAAACCAATGATATGAAAAATTAAATTCAGTAAAACCAGGCAAAGGCTAAAACACATTGCAATAAAATAGTTGTAATCTAAACTTTCTTCTAAATAATTATTACTTTCCTGACTGGTATAGCAGGATGTACTCAATAACCTATTTATATGATTGTATAATTGATATAATTATCATAATTAATAATCATAGTTTACCTGTTACATTTTGCCTTTTCACTTAAAATAATAGAAGAAATTCAGACTCTCATGGTTAACACAATATATACACACATAATATAAACTATTTAATACTTTAAAATAGTCATATACCTAGTTATGAATCCATGCTGATTTACTATGAAATTTTACCAAGTAGTATAGTTTGAGTATAGATAGCTCTGTACAATATTCTAATCTAAATTGGTAAATTGAAGGGTAGCTAATGATTATTATGAGTATCATTGTCTGTTATACTATATTGCTGTCAAATTAGCTTAATGAATTTCAAAACACATTTTGATTGTGAATATAATACTGGTTTCATATATGCTTGGTTAGTAGTGGTATAACAAAACCAATTGTCTTTACATGATGATGTCTAAGAATTCAGCAATCCAACCATTTAAACAAGAGCTCAAACCTCAAAGACAGTAGTCTGTTGGTCAAGCATCTTTCTACTTCTCAGAGAATCCACAATGCAATCTCAACCCTGTGGATGTGTATTCTTCCATCTGCTTGAGAGGAAGATTTTTCTACAATGTTCTTGTCAGTGTATTGGAGGCCATAAGTAACAACGTTGGTATCACTCAATTAGATGGCAGAAAGAGCAATTTCTCTCTAAGTACTGTTAGGTTAAACAAGTTGAATGACTTTGTTCCTTTGCTTATAAATGACTGTGCTTTTTTCCCCCACTGAGGGATTGATTTGGCCTAGAATTTCCTTTTCATCAGGATGTGCTCACACAGAAGCAAGACATGGAAGTGAGAACTTATAGATTGCTCCTTCTCCACCTCCAACATACAAGAAAATTTATGTGCATAAAAATGTATATGACATTCACCCATTGGTCCATTGTTAGGACCATTCATTTTACTTAATATGTACATATTTTCTATTTTTTTTATTTGGACAGTTAAAACTACCACATCTGATTGGAATAATCATTCTAGTGTTTTAAAATCATAACAAATTATTTATTTCAAAATAAATCCATAGAAGTTGGATTATTAGGCATATGAGCCTAGTAATGCATATGATAATTTTTTTTAAAAAAAAATCAGGTATCTTTTATGTCAGTTTAAACTTATGTGAAATTGTGTAGCTCATATGTGAACTTACATTGTAGTAAGAACACTTAACATGAGATCTAACCCCTTAAGTTTCTAAGTGTAAAATAGAGTATTGTTAACAATAGGAACAATATCATACAGCAGATCTCTAGAATGTATTCATTTTACATTATGGGCATTTTTATGTTTTTTGATTTGTACTACCATGTTGTTCTTCAATAGGATATATCAAAGTATATCATCATAGTATGTGAATGTCTTCTTTAAGCCTTACTATTTCTTAATCTGAATCACTTGCTTATATATTAAGCAAAACATTGCAACTTTATTTTGAATTTCTTTGCTTACTATTAGAATGGCATTTTCCCATATGTTTGTTCATTACTTTTTGCTTGAAGTGAACTTTTCATTTAATTTTTCCAATTACTATATGAGATCCTAATGTTTTCATGTACATTTAAATAAATCATTTATGCACAATATACAGTAACCAAGTATGTTTTGCTTAGTATTAATAATTTCACTTCATTTTATCTTAATTACAGTATATTCTAGGTTTCACTAAAGTTTCATAATTTGTGCAGCATAGACTTGTAATCTTTTTGTGATTGTTGGTTAAAATTCTGGTACATTTTTTATAACACAGTTCTAACAAATATTTATTTAACTTTGTCATAAACTATAAAAATTTTATTTTTATTATGTTTATGTAATCTATGCTTTTTCTCAGCTTGCAAACATGTTCAATTATTTACTTTCAAAAGTAGGTAAATTTGGATTTATTTCCAATAATATGACAGGTTATATAGAGTAGGATGTGATTCCCACTGACAAATCACCTACAATGACTAACCAAAACATAGAAAATGTTTTAAGTATGAAGTTTAAATAGAAGGAGAATTATGGAAAGCCCAAGAGGTAGAAAAACACTTACAAGGAAATATTGATAAATTTGACTAGATTAAAAATTAGGGATCTCTATTCATCAAAAAACACAACAAAGAATGTGGACAAAAACAAAGTTAACAACTGGGGAAAGATATTTGATACACATAGAAAATATGTTTGAAACACATATAACAGAAAAATCCAAGTTTGTAAGAAACTATAGGAGAAGATATATGTGTATATATATAATGTGTGTGTGTATATACATATATAAATATATAAAATAGATAAATAAGTGAAAGAAAAGAGAAAATTGATGGCTTGTAAACATTTGAAAATATGTTAAGCCTAATTGAGAATAAGTATGTAAATTAAGACCACAATGAGATGTATCTGTCCACCTATAAGATGGCAATTTCTCCAAATTCCTATCATTACCATTAATCTTCCCTTGAATTCCAATCCCATGTCCCCAGCTTTCTACTCTATTAAAACTGTACTTGGATGACTATGCTTGTTCAAATGCTCTTTTTGTCATATTTCCCATCTTTATAATTTTATACTTTGATCGTTTAGGAAAAAAAAAACACGTAGACTCTTTCCTGACTACTCTCTTTCTCTCACATTCAGTCAGAGACATTCACCCTGTTAGTAAATCCATAGGCTCTACCTGTGAATTATATCCAGGAATTCACAACTTTCTCACCAGTTATTCTGCTGCCATCCAGGCAGAAAAACAAATTATATTCCAATAATTTCCCTGCTCTTCTCTTTCTTCATTATAGACTATTTACAAAACAGAAACTAAAGTGACCCTTTGAATACATGAATGATATCTTGTCACTTCTCTGCTCAAAACATTCCCATAACTTCCCATTTCTTTCAAAGTAAGAGCCAAAATTCTCCCAAAGGCTTTGCAATACGCAGCATCATCTGGGTCATCGGTAGTTCCTCCTGTTCTTTTACTAATTCATCGCAGCTAGCTATCCTAGCCTCTTTGCTCTCTCTCTCTCTCCCTCTTTCTCTCTTTCTCTCTCTGTGTGTGTGTGTGTGTGTGTGTGTGTGTGTGTGTGTGTTTAAATATATCAGGCACCCTCCAGCCCCTCCACCTTCTTTCTATTTTTTTAATTTAATATGTGATATTATCATTTAGTAAACTAGTAATTTACTTTTTATGTCTCCTATTCGTAGTTGGCCTCTCCTCACTAGGATGTAAGCTCCATGGAAGCAGCTTATTTATTCTTGAATGTATCACAAGATGCTAAAACAATATTTGGTACAGAATTGTTCTTATTTATTAATTAAAGGAATGAATCCCCGTAATGCACATTTTACGATACAAATAATGTGCCTGCTACTAAGAAGACAGACAAAGATGTATTACTATTCTGGAGTGGTGAAAACAATCTAATGGGTAAGGAGGTACGGGTTACAGTTTATTAGAACAGAGAAAAGCCATTTTCCAGGGCCATAAGGGCTGCATACCAGGTACTAGGGTCTATAACTTTACTAGAAAGAGGAATCCATCTGTAGTGGTTACTTCAGAAGATATTAACACCTGGTTAACTTTATTGTATGGCAATGTCATCTCATTAAATTTTGCTATTTATAAATTTGAATAGGGATGCTATGGGAATCAGTAATATAGTAAGTTTCTAGCCAATATTTTCTTAACCATGTGATTGTCATAGTCCCCAAGACTACCGCTTGGCCAGAAAGATTCTTCAGAATGTGATCCAGGTTAGAGTCAGTATACAGTAGCTCATAAATATTTGGATCATTCATTTTGCATAGTGCAGAGTTGCCTTAGAAAATGGCAGCAATTCATCTTAGGAGAGATCAAGTGAACAAGTTTGTTGATTATGGAAAGCTGTTTCCCCAAAATTTCCCAGCTCTCATTTTATTCAAGGATATCTAGATTAAGAACTAATTCATGTCTGTGACCTGGCAAGAGGACATAAACTATTTTTGTTTTGTGTTTTCCTTTGTTTTATTTTTAAGAGGCTGAAGTTAGGTCTTTGTTGAAAAGACTAAGATATTTTTCCTCCCTAATGAAAATCAACTAATAGCATAATGAATTTAATTGTATCTACCACCATCTCAGTATGATTGGAAATCTACTGGGATTCTGCTCCTACTCCTACCAACATTCCCATTCCAAAATAAAATGTGAATCAAACTGTTTCTAAATAATGTGGTGCTTTACTCACCAATCTAGCTTTCAAGACTTTAATGAATGGAGAGTTTCATAGGGTGGCTTCATGATTTAGTTGGGAGAGAGGAAGGAGCATGATATATCCAATACATATTCCAGTCCCTTGGAATTATTGATTTTTTTCTCTATATTAGTTCAAGTGTTTCTGGCCTCCTGCTGATGTTTAGAACAGGCTGTTTAAATCTAGACTTTCAATAGATAATAGAATACCATTGCTTATGAGATAACATTAAATACAAAATAATATTAATTAATTTTTGTTTAGTATACTGAATTCAATAATTGAATGTACTGTTATGCAACTGTGGATCACAGGCTATACATCTTTATACAGATATAGTCTCGTTCCCCCTATATTTCCAGAAAGCAAATTTCAAATACACAATGGAAACTAAAGAAATGTCATCTAAAATCCATTTTCTGTTGCTAATGTATAAATTTGTCATATATTAGAATATGCCATTAGAATGGAAAATGAATTTGTGTCTTTGGGAAATATTGAATTATCCCTGAGTCTTTGAAAGCTGTTGCTGAAATAAACTTTAGCAGTTTGTCTACATTTTTCTCTTTTTCCCTTTCTTTATTTCTTCTAAAAATAATGGGATACATGTGCAGAATGTGCAGGTTTGTTACATAGGTACACGTGTTCCATGGTGGTTTGCTGCATCTACTAACCCATAGTCTAAGTTCCCTCCCTTCACTTCCCAACCCCCAACAGGCCCAGGTATGTGTTATTCCTCTCTCAGTGTCCAAGTGTTCTCAATGTTCATCTCCCACTTATGAGTGAAAACATGAGGTGTTTGGTTTTCTGTTCCTGTTTTAGTTTGCTGAAGATGATGGCTTCCAGCTTCATCCATATCCTTGCAAAGGACATGATCTCATTCCTTTTTATGGCTGCATAGTATTCGATGGTGTATATGTACTACATTTTCTTTATCCAGTCTATCATTGAGGGGCATTTGGGTTGGTTCCATGTCCTTGCTATTTTAAGTTGTGTTGCAATAAAAATACGTGTGCATGTGTCTTTATAATTATTTATATTCCATTTGACCCAGTAATGGGATGGCTGGGTCAAATGGTATTTCTGGCTCTAGATCCTTGAGAAATCACCATGCTGTCTTTTACAATGGTTGAACTAATTTACATTCCCACCGACAGTGTAAAAGTGTTCCTATTTCTTCACAGCCTTGCCAGCATCTATAGTTTCTTGACTTAATTGCCTTTCTGACTGGCATGAGATGGTATCTCATAGTGGTTTTGATTTGCATTTCTCTGATGATCCGTGATGTTGCGTTTGTTTGTTTGTTTGTTTTCATGTATTTGTTGGCTGTGTAAATGTCTTCTTTTGAGAAATGTCTGTCCATAACATTTGTCCACTTTTTGATGGGGTTATTTTTTTTTTCTTATAAATATGATTAGGTTCCTTGTAAATTCTGGATATTAAACCTTTGTCAGATGGGTAGATTGCAAAAATTTTCTCCCACTCTGTAGGTTGCCTGTTCAGTCTGATGATAGTTTCTTTTGATGTGCAGAATCTCTTTAGTTTAATTAGCTCCCATTTGTCAGTTTTGACTTTTGTTGCAATTGCTTTTGGCATCTTCATCATGAAAGTCTTTGCCCATGCCTATGTCCTGAATGGTATTGCCTAGGTTTTCTTCTAGGGTTTTTACAGTTTTGGGTTTTACATTTAAGTCTTTAATCCATTTTGAGTTAATTTTTGTACAAGGTGTAAAGAAGGGGTCCAGTTTCAGTTTTTTGTATATGGCTAGTTAGTTTTCCCAGCACCATTTACTGAATAGGAGATCCTTTCCTCATTGCATTTCTTTAGCTTTCTTGTTGTCCCCATTGATCATTGGTAAGCCATGGCTGGAAAATACACTGCATTTTATTGGCAATGTTTAGTTCAGATAAGCACTACTGGTAAAATTATCTATGGCCATATGTTTCAACCAGCTTTAGATAGTCGTTGTGTTCAATCATCTTTTACTGGATTAGCTTGGAGGTCCAAAGCTAAAATAGCATAATTAAAGACTTTGAAGAACTCACATTTGAATGATGCATTGCAAAAAACACTTATAATATTTAGAACTTATAATGCATTTATAAGCCAGTGGCCAAAGATAAACAACTAAGATCAAGGGAATACATTCAATCCTTAATCTGTACACCCTGCAGTATCAGATATGAGTATGTCAGCCTAATTGCTAATTTTCCAGTATCTATTAATCCAAATATATTTAGTAACATTATGTAGTGGTGTAAATTGGTGGTGCCATAAAAATTATTTCCATATTCTAATCCATGGAACCTATGAAATCTTACTTTATTTAAATAAACAGTCTTTGAAGATGTTATTAAATTGAGGATTTTGATATGGAGACATTTTCCTAGATTATCCAAGTGGACTTCAAATTTAATAATCATTGACCTTTTAAGAGATAAGCAGAGAAAAAGGTAGACACACACACAAAAGAAAGTGATATGAAGACAGAGGCATAAATTGGAGGCTGTGGCCATAAGCCGAACAAGTTAACAACCACCAGAAGCTGTAAGCGGCATGAGACAGATTTTCCCCAAGAGTGTCTTTAGGGAGTACCCTACACCCACCTTGGTTTGCGACTTCTGACCTGCCGAACTCTGAGAGAATAAATTTCTGTTGTTTGAAGTCATCAAGTTTGTTGTAATTTGTTACAGGAGCCCTAGGAAACTAATACACATTTAAAAATCTCAGACAATCTGTTGGGAAATAGGAATAATATTCTTTACTGAGATCAGCATTGGATCAGGCATAGAAATATGGTATTATGTCTATGGCTGTTCTGTGTAGAAAGACCACCTGTCTAGTCTCTGAAACTTTCTTGGCAAAGGTATTTAAGACCTTAGAAGTATTATTGCTCCTACAAATTGCCATATCATAGCATAAAGTGTATTTTTCACCATTCCAACTTTCTTAAAATCTTAAAATGGACCCAAGAACGTGTTTCAGAATGCCCCCCTCAGAAGTTAAGATTTTATGTCTCAAATTGTGGCCCAGTTCATTTCCTTCTTGACTGTACTTTAAAGATCATATTATCTGGATCGCAGTTGCTACCTTTGGTGTAACTATGTTCTTTCATCTTGGTTTATTTACATTCTTCCCAATTATAAACAAATAAACTCTATTATACTGTGCTGAAATTGCACAGATTGAGTTAGCATCTGTTTTCTTCTGTAACCTTATAAAACCACATGTTTAATATTCATCTCTCACTGTAAAAGAAAAATCAAAAATGTTCTCTGACAAGATTACTTTCTTTACTGCCATATGCATATAACATAAAAGTGTTAAAATTTATCTCTATAGTTCCAGAAGGAAATATAAGTGAATAATTTTATATCTATAGATGCATGCATTAGTTCCCTAGGGCTGCAAAAAAGTATCACAAATTGAGTGACTTGAACAATGGAAATTTATTATCTTAGAGATCTGGAAGTTAGAAGTGTGAGATCAAAGTGTTAGCAGGGTTGATTTCTTCTTAGGGTTGTGTTTTAATTCATTTTGCATTGCTAATACCTGAGGCTAGGTGATTTAGAAAGAAAATAAGTTTATTTGGTTCAGGCTTCTGCAGGGCGTATAAGCATGCTACCAGCATTTGCTAGGCTTCGACTGAGGCCTCAAAAACGTTTTACTCATGGTGGAAGTTGAAGGAGCAGCAGGTGTGTCACATGGTGAGAGAGGGAGAAAGAGAGATCCCAATTGTTTAAATTTGATTCTTTTAAACGATCAGATTGCATGTGAACTGAGCAAAAATTCACTCAGACCATGGGGAAGGCACCAAGACATTCATGAGGGCTCTTCCCCCATGACCTAAACACTTTCCCCCAGGTGCCACCTTTAACAGTAGGGATCACACATCAACATTTGATTTGGAGGGGACGCACATCCAAACCAAATCAGGTTGTGATGGAGAGTCTGTTTCATGCCTCTCTTCTAACTGCTGGTGCTTTTCCAGCAATCTGTGGTGTTCTTTGACTTGTAATTTAACACTCTGATCTCTGCTTTTATTTTGCCTGGTGGACATATCTGTATCTGTGTCTAAATTATTTCTTCTTATAAGGATTACAGTTACATTAGATTTAGGGACCAGTCTAGCAACCTGATTTTAAGTTGTCTATCCCTGTAAATACCCCATTTCTCAAAGAGGTCACATTCTGAGGTACTTAGAGTGAGAACATCTTTTTGGTGGACATAATTCAACCTACACTACCTTATGAAATATGATAAACACACAAAAGAAAACATTTATATATTAGCATATCTAGACATTTGCAGTATTTAACAGAAGGGCTAATCTTATGCCTCCACAATTCTAATACTAATATTTATCTTAAAGGTTAACTCACACAGGGATGCCATTTTAACATTCATTCATTAGAAATGGATGATACTGAAACATTAATTCCACTAATAAAAATGAGTAAAAAAATGAAAACACCCTAATATTCCATAAGAGCTGTTTATTTTTTTAATTTAATTTAACTTTTTATTTCCAACTTTTATTTTAAATTCAGGGATACCTATGCAGGATGTGCAGCCTTGTTACATGGGTAAACGTGTGTGATGGTGGCTTGCTGCACAGATCATCCCATCACCTAGATATTAAGCCTGGCATCCATTAGCTATTCTTCCTCATACTCTCCCCACTACTACCCAACCCCTACCCTGTGACAAGCCCCAGTGTGTGTTGTCTTCCACCATGTGTCCTTGTGTTCTCATTATTCAGTTCCACTTATAAGCAAGAACATGCAGTGTTTTGTTTTCTATTGCTGCATTAGTTTGCTGAGGATAATGGCTTCCAGCTCCATCTGTGTCCCTTCAAAGGACATGATCTCATTTCTTTTTATGGCTGTATAGTATCCCATGTTTTATAGGTAATTTTTTTTTTTTTTTGACGGAGTCTCTCTCTGTTGCCCAGGCTGGAGTGCAGTGGTGAGATCTTGGCTCACTGCAAGCTCCACCTCCCGGGTTCACACCATTCTCCTGCCTCAGCCTCCCAAGTAGCTGGGATTACAGGCACGTGCCACCATGCCTGGCTAATTTTTTTTTGTATTTTTACTAGAGATGTGGTTTCACTGTGTTAGCCAGTATGGTCTTGATCTCCTGACCTCATGATCCACCCACCTTGGCCTCCCAAAGTGCTAGGATTACAGGCGTGAGTCACCGCGCCTGGCTGTACCATTTTTTTATCCAGTCTATTATGATGAGAAATTGGGTTGATTCCATGTCTTTGCTATTATGAATAGTGCTGCAGTGTATCTTTCTAATTGAATGATTTTATATTCCTTTGGGTATATTCCTTTGAGGGTATATATATATATTGGAATTGCTGCATCAAATGATATTTCTGGTTCTAGATCTTTGAGGAATTGCCACACTGTCTTCCACAATGGTTGAACCAATTTACACACCCAGTGTAAAAGTGTTCCTTTTTCTCCACAATCTTGCCAGCATCTGTTCTGTTGTTTCTGACTTTTTAATTGTAGCCATTCTGACTGGAGTAAGATGGTATCTCATTGTGATTTTGCTTGCATTTCTCTAATGATCAGTGATGTTGAGCTTTTTTTTCAGTTATTTGTTGGCCCCATTATGTCGTCTTTTGAGAAGTGTCTGTTCATATCCTTTGTCTACTTTTTAATGAGGTTATTGTAAATTTGTTTAAGTTCCTTATAGATGCTGGATATTAGACCTTTGTCAGGTGGATAGATTGCCAAAATTGTCTACCATTCTATAGGTTGTCTCTATACTTTGTTGATAGTTTCTTTTGCTATGCAGAAACTTTTTAGTTTAATTCGAGCCCAATTATCAAATTTTGCTTTTATTTCAATTGCTTTTGTCATCTTCATCATGAAGTCTTTGCCCATGCCTAAGAGCTGAATGGTAGTGCCCAGGTTTTCTTCTAGGAGTTTTATAGCTTTGCACTTTACATTTATGTCTTTAACCCACCTTCAGTTGATTTTTGTATATGGTGTAAGGAAGGGTTCCAATTTTAGTTTTCTGCATATGACTAGCCAGTTCTCCCAGCACCATTTATTTAATAGGGAATCTTTTCCCCAGTGCTTGTTTTTGTCAGTTTTGTTGAAGATCAAATAGTTGTTGGCGTGTAGTCTTATCTCTGTGTTCTTATTTCTTATTTGTTTATGTGCTTGTTCTCATAACAGTACCATGCTGTTTTGGTTACTGTAGTCCATTAATATAGTTTGAAGTCAGATACGGTAATGCCTCCAGTTTTGTTCTTTTTGCTTAGGATCACCTTGGCTATTTGGGCTAATTTTTGTTCCATATTAATTTTAAAATAGGTTTTCTAATCCTGTGAAGAACGTCAATGGTAGTTTAATGGGAATAGCATTAAGTCTCTAAATTACTTTGGTCTGTATGGCCATTTTCACAATATTAATTCTTCCTATCCATGAGCATGGAATGTTTTTTTCTATTTGATTGTGTTATCTCTGATTTCTTTGAGCAGTGGTATGTAGTTCTCCTTGAAGAGTTTCTTTTCTTCCCTTCTTAGCTGGATTCCTAGGTATTTTATTCTTTTTGTGGCAATCACAAATGGGAATGCTAGCGATTTGTGCACATTGATTTTGTATCCTGAGACTTTGCTGATGTTGCTTATCAGCTTAAAAGGCTTTTGTCCTGAGATGATGGGGTTTTCTAGATATAGGATCATGTCATCTGCAAACAAAGATAGTTTGACTTCCCTTCTTCCTATTGGAATAACTTTTTTTTCTCTTGTCTAATTACCCTAGCCAGAGCTTCCAATACTATATGAAATAGGACTGGTGAAAGAAGGCATCCTTGACCCCACAGAACTACAAACAACTATTAGAGAATAATATTAATATCTCTACTCGCATAAACTAGAAAATCTGGAAGAGATGGATAAATTCATGTACACATATACCCTCCCAAAACTGAACCAGGAAGAAATCAAATCCCTGAATAGACCAATAATGAATTCTGAAATTGAGGCAGTGATAAATAGCCAACCAACTAATTAAGAAAAACCAAGGTCAGATGGATTCACAGCTGCGTTCTACCAGAGGTACAAAGAAGAACTGATACCATTCTTACTGAAACTATTCCAAGCAATTGAAAAGGAGGGATTCCTCCCTAATTCACTCTATAAAGCCAGCATCATCCTGATACCAAAACCTGGCAGAGATAAAACAAAAGTTCAGACCAATATCCTTGATGAATATTGATGCAAAAATTCTCAACAAAATACCTGCAAACTGAATCCAGCAGCACATCCAAAAGTTTATCCACCATGATCAAGTTGTCTTCATGCAACGTTGGTTCAATATATGCAAATCAATAAATGTGATTCATCACATAAGTAGAACTAAAGAGAAAAACTACATGGTTATCTCGGTAAATGCAGAAAAGACCTTCGATAAAAATCAACGTCCCTTCAGGTTAAAAAGTCTCAATTAGGCAGTGCACGGTGGTTCACGCCTGTAATCCCAACACTTTGGGAGACCAAGGCAGGAGGATCATCTGAAGTCGGGAGTTCGAGATCAGCCTGACAAACATGGAGAAACCCCATCTTTACTAAAAATACAAAAAATTATCCAGGTGTAGTGGTGCATGCCTGTAATCCCAGCCTCTCGGGAGGCTGAGGCAAGAGAATCGCTTGAACACAGGAGGTGGAGGTTGTGGTGAGCCAAGATCACGCCGTTGCACTACAGCCTGGGCAACAAAAACTCCGTCTCAAAAAAAAAAAAGAAAAAAGCCTCAATTAACTAGGTATTTAAAGGACAGGGACGTACTTCAAAATAATAAGGGACATGTATGACAAACGCACAGCCAATATTATACTGAATGGGCAAACGCTGGAAGCATTCCCCTTGAAAACTGGCACAAGAGCTGTTTAAATACATTATGATTGGCTGTATTAAATTTGAGGAATGACACACAGTTTTTTTTTGGTTTTTTTTTTTTTTTTTTTGAGACGGAGTCTTGCTCTTTCTCCCATGCCGGAGTGCAGTGGCGCTATCTCGGCTCACTGCAAGCTCCGCCTTCCGGCTTCACGCCATTCTCCTGCCTCAGCCTCCCGAGTAGCAGGGACCACAGGCGCCCGCCACTGCGCCCGGCTAATTTTTTGTATTTTTAGTAGAGACGGGGTTTCACCGATGACATACAGTTTTTAAGAGAATGAGATCAAAGATGGAAAACTTTTGAGGATAGCGGAGTTAAAAATCAAGTTTCAAAGCACAAATTGTGTGTGCCTAGAAAATAGCCACAATTCTGTCATTCAGATTCTTAATATGATTATTTCCAGGGAGCGAGAAACAGCTGGTTCAGATCAAAGGGGTAGTGGAGTACATGCCAGAAAATGCATTTTACTTTTGACTTTATTTATGTTTGAAATGATTAAATTAACTGTTTTCATAACAAACAGGACTTACCATTAAACAATGGGGAAGAAAAAAAGCTTATAGAGATTGCTGGGGTTTTTTTTATTAAACATCTCTTAAAGTAAAAAATTCAGTGGGTTTTTATTGTTGAATGAAAATTTATCTATGTCTTATAAAAAATAATGGGGATTATACTTCCTCCTATGCCTCAGGGACTAATCTTCACCAAATCATTTATTTGCAGTCTGAAATTATAGCATTCATTTATATTACTGAGCTCCTTCTATGTTCCAGGAATTGTTATGGAGCCCCTAGTGTGCTCCAGTCATTATTTTGTGTGCTTGAGATAAAGCAAAAAACAAGATTGGCAAGAGGCAAAATTTCCTGTCCTCATGGAACTTATATTTTAGGGGAGGAGTGATTAAAAATATGACTGTAACAGACACTTACAGGACATTCTACCCAACAACTACAGATTAAAAGTAAAAGGATGAAGAAAGATGCACCATGCTAACACTACTTTTAAAGCTGAAGTATTTTTATTAGTTTCAGACAAACTATACTGACTTCAGAAACAAAAAACTAATTAGAGATAATAAGCAGCTTTACGAAAGATAAAGGAATTGATTTTCAAGAATCCAATACGATTGTAGGTGTGTGTGTAACTAACAGTATACCATCAAAATATTTTAGAAATAAAAGAAGAAGGCCGGGCGCGGCAGCTCATTCTTGTAATCCCAGCACTTTGGGAGGCCGAGGCGGGCAGTTCCTGAGGTCTGGAGTTCGAGACCAGCCTGACCAGCATAGTGAAACCCCATCTCTACTAAAAATACAAAAATTATCCAGGCACATGCCTGTAATCCCCAGCTACTCAGGAGGCTGAGGCAAGAGAATCACTTGAACCTGGGAGGTGGAGGTTGCAGTGAGCCAAGATCGTGCCCCTGCACTCCAGTCTGGGCGACAGAGCCAGACTCTGCCTCAAAATAAATAAATAAAGAAGAAATAGACAAATCAATTATTATAATCAAAGACTTCAACACCTTTCTTGATAGATAAAGCAGATTTAAAAAAAAAAAATGACCTGAACACCACTGTCAACTTGATCTCCTGGGCCTTTGTAGGATACTCCATTTAACAATAGCATAATACACATTTTTCTGAAGCTCAAGCGGATCACATATGAAGATAACCACATTCTGACCCATATAATGCACTTAAACACATTTAGAAGAAAAGAAATCATACAAAGTATGCTGTCAGAACATGATAGCATTAAACAGTAAATCAATAACAGAAGAAGAGCTAGAAAACCCTCAAGTATTTGGAAATTAACACACATCTAAATAACACATGGGATAAAAAAGAAGTCTCACGGAAAATAAAGTAGATAAAAATAAAAATTAACTTACCAATATTTGTTAGTGTAACAAATATATTACACAGGGTCAAATTTGTAGTCTTAAGTGCACACTTTAGAAATAAATAAAGATTTGAAATCAATAATTTAAACTTTTACCACACAAAATCAAAGAAAAATTTAAACTTAAAGAATATAGGGGAAAATAAATCATAAAAATTAACATGGGAATAGAAAACCAAATGCTGCATATTCTCACTTATAAGTGAGAGCTAAGCATTAAGCGTACATAGATATGAAGATGGGTACAATAGAACCTGGGGACTACTAGAGAGGAAGGGGAGAAAGAGGGGTGTCAGCTGAACAATGACCTATTGGATTCTATGCTCACTACCTGGACGATGGTATCATCCATACCCCAAACCTCAGTATCACATAGCATACCCATGTAACAAACCTCATGAGTACCCCCAAATCTAAAATAAAATTAATTTTTTTAAATTAAAGCAGAAATGAATGAAATTGAAAACAGGAAAGCAATAGAGAAAATCAATAAAACCAAATGTTGGTTCCTTAAACAGGTAAATAAAACTGATATACTTCCTGTGAGGCTAATGAAGGAAGAAGGAAAAGAAGAAGAAGGAGAAGAAAATGAGGAAAGGAGAAAAGAAGAAGGGAGAGGAGGAGTGGGAAGAGAAGAAGAATTATTTAAAATTCCTATTTCAGAAATGAAAGAGATGTCATTACTAATAATTCATGACATTCATAGGATAATATGAGTATACTATAAACAACTTTATGCTAATATAGTTGATAATTTAGGTGAAATGGATCAATTCCTTCAATGACAAAAAGCAGCAAAACCCAAACAATAACCTGACGAATAGTGCCAGGTCCAGATGCGCTCACCAGTGATTCTTTGAAATAATTATAAAGTAAATGCTATGAATTTTTTTTCTGGAAATTAGAAGCTTAGAGGACACTTCTAACTCATTATATGAGTTCTGCCTTACCCTAATACCAAAAACAGATAACAGTGTTTAAATAACAGAAAACTATAGAACAATATACCTCAAGAACATAGACTTATATGTTCAACAAAATAACAATAAATTCACCAATATATAGAAGAATTATACATCATGCCACGTAGGATTATTTCTGGCATGCAAGACCAGTTAATAATTCAAAACTCAATTAATGGAATCCACTACTCCAACTAACTTAAAATAGAGTATTCAGGTCCAAATCTAACTAAATATGTACAGGGGCTATGTGAGAAACTATAAAATAATAATAAAAATTCAAAGTTCTAAATATTTGGAGATACCTTTCATGTTCATAGATCGGAATACTCTCGCTCTCTCTATCTATATCTATATATATATATAGATATATCTATGTATATAAATGTATATATATATGCATGCACTATATATATGAATGCACTATATATATGAATGCACTATATATATAAATGCACTATATATATATTTTTTGTTTGTTTGTTTGTTTGTTTTCGAGGCAGGGTCTTGCTTTGTTGCCCAGGCTGGAGTGCAGTGGCCCTATCTTGGCTCACTGCAACCTCTGCCTCCCGGGTTCAAGCAATTCTCCTGCCTCAGCCTCCTGAGTAGCTGGGATTACAGGCGCCTGCCACCACGCCTGGCCAATTTTTGTATTTTCAGTACAGACATGGTTTCACCGTGTTGGCCAGGCTGGTCTTGAACTCCTGACCTCTTGACCCGCCCGCCTCAGCCTCCCAGAGTGCTGGGATTACAGGCGTGAGCCACTGCGCCCCTCAATACTTTTATGATGGCAATTTTTCCCAACTTGATGTGTACCATCAATGCAATACCAATACACAATCCAGAAAATTATATTGTGAGAATCAGTGAACTAATTCTAAAGTTTATATGGAGAGGCAAAAGGCCTAGAATGACCAACAAATACTAAAGAAGACTGGGCCAGGCGCGGTGGCTCACGCCTGTAATCCCAGCACTTTGGGAGGCCGAGAAGGGTGGATCACGAGGTCAGGAGATCGAGACCATCCTGGCTAACACGGTGAAACCCCGTCTCTACTAAAAATACAAAAAAAAAAAAAAAAAAAATTAGCCAGGCGTGGTGGCGGATGCCTGTAGTCCCAGCTACTCAGGAGGCAGAGGCAGGAGAATGGCGTTAACCCGGGAGGCAGAGCTTGCAGTGAGCTGACATCGCGCCACTGCACTCCAGCCTGGGCGACTGAGCAAGACTCCATGAAAAAAAAAAAAAAAAAAAAAAAAAAGAAGAAGAAGACTGGAGTACTGAAACTATTCCATTTCAAAGCTCACTGTAAATTTATGTGCATTGGCGAAAGAAGAAACATATATCATAGTAAATGATCATAAAGTCTATATTTAGAATGATACAAACATAGACAACTATTCAACAAAAGAGAAGACAAAATTAATAAAGAAAGGTAAACTTTGTATAAGTTGTTCTGGGATATTTGGACATCCATATGAAAAACAAACAAACATATCTGGACACAGAACTTACACCTTACACAGAAATTAACTCAAAATCAATTACAGACCTAAATGTATAATGCAAAGCTGTACCATTTTAAATAAAAATCAGTAAAAAATTGACATGATTTTGGATTTGTCAATTAACTTGTAGACACAACACCAATAATATGCTGCATGAAAGAACAAAACGATGATAGGTAAACTTTATTAAAATTATTAACTACTGCACTGTGAAAGTGTAAAGAGAATTAAAAACCAGCTACACTGTAGGAGAAAATACTTGCAAAACATATCTGATAAAAGATTTGTATCCAAAATAGATAAATTTTAAAATTCAATAATTAAAAATAAAAAATGGGCAAAATTCTGATACCTAAATGGATAATATATACAAACTGTAGATAAGCATAGGAAAAGATGCTCCACATTATTAGTCATTAGACAAATGCAAATTAAAACCAAAATGAGATACTACTACATACCTATCACAATGAAAAAAAAATCTAACCATGCCATTATGCATAGCAACAGAGTCTCTTATTCATAGCTGTTGAAAATGTAAAGTGATACAACCACTTTGAAAAACAGTTTGACAGTTTTTACAAAGTTAAGCAAATCTTACCATACAATCTTGTCATTATGCTCCTAGGAAATTACCCATCTGATTTAAAAATTATATCCATGCAAAAGTCTGCCTGTTAACATTTAAAGCAGCATTACTCATAAACAACAAAAACCAGAGGCAACAAAGATGTCCTTCAATAAGAGAAAGTCTAAATTAACCACAGTTCATCCATACAATGGTGTATTATTTTTCAGTAAAAAATACTGTGCTATCAATCATTAAAAAGCATAGATGAATCTTGAATGCATGATGCTAAATGAAAGCAGCCAGTCTAAAAACTGCATACTATGGTTGTAATGACAGGACATTATAGAAAAGGCAGAACATAGAAATAGTATAATTAACAGTGATTGTCAGTGGCTAGTGGTTTGGGGTTGAAGGAACATTGAATAGGTGAAGCATAGATTTTTCATAGGCTGGTGAAACTATTCTGTATTATACTGTAATGGTAAAGAAAAGATATTAAGCATTTATTAAATCTAAAACTTGATAGCCCCCAAACGTAAACCTTACTGTATTCACATTTAACATATCATTTGTGTAGCTGGAGATCTCAAGATGAATACGGAATATGAAAAAGGCTCTAAGTGTATTACAAATTTATAAATGCGATGGGAAGAAGGTGCTAATCTAAGAAAACTTAGAAATGAGTAGTGATTGTAAAATGAAAGGTAAAAATAACTATACATAGCACTCTACTTGATAAAGTTGCTTTTCTTTTTTTTTTTTCTTTTTCTTTTTCTTTCTTTCTTTTTTTTTTTTTTTGAGACGGAGTCTTGCTGTGTCGCCCAGGCTGGAGTACAGTGGCTAGATCTGGGCTCACTGCAACCCCTTCCTCCCGGGTTCAAGTGATTCTCCTGCCTCAGCCTCCCAAGTAGCTGGGACTACAAGTGCGTTCCACCCCGCCCAGCTTATTTTTTCTTTTTTTTTTTTTTTTCTTCGGTGTTTTTAGTAGAGATGAGGTTTCACCATGTTGGCCGGGATTGTCTCCATCTCCTGACCTCGTGATCCGCCCTCCTCGGCTTCCCAAAGTGCTGGGATTACAGGCATGAGCCACCGCGCCCATTCACGATAAAGTTGTTTTTCCTAAGGGCAAAGCTAGAGCAGTTTTGAAAGCACCATATATGCATACTGAAATTAAGCAAGTATGGGAATGGATGCCAGATAGAGAGAATTAGGTTTCTCACTGTTGGAATTGGAGGTTAGACTTGAGCAAATTGAAAACGCTATAATTATCAATGCCTTAATGAATTAGAGCTGAAGAAACCAGTATGGAATGTTCAGATTAATATAGGTAAAAATGTTTACATACAGAAATATTTATAGATATATTTTTGTACATGGTTTATTATACACACATACATGCCTCTGCTCTGTCAGCTTAGAGGGCCTAGAAGAAACAACACTTTTCTTTCCACTCTCAGTCTTATTCAGCCTGGTCTCTTTTGCCAGGAATGAAGACTCATTGCATATAATGTAGAAACAGACATGCTTAAATGCATTCACATGGAATGGGGGCCTATATAGGATGATCAAACACATCTAATAAAGAATCAAATTTAACTTCTAGAAATCAAAAGAAAAAATGAAAGGAGTATGTTCTTTAAATGAAGAGGGAACATGGGTGAATAGGCAGGAAAACTCCCAATATGCTTTAGAATACTAACCACTCAGATGTACAAAGCCACCTAGTAAAGACAGAATATATATATATACACACACACACACATATATACACATATATATGAATCTATATATTCAGAATATATGTATATATATATTCAGAATATATGTATATACATATATATACACATATATGAATATATATATAATCATAATTTAATGGTGGATTAATGCCCAGCTCAGTGCTTATTATCTCATCGTGATTTGTCTTAAAGAAGAGACTCTCTCATTCTCATAAAGTAGATGGGAGTGGAATTCTGCTTCATTCATGGGAGATCTTTCAGATAATTGACTATTTCTACTAGTATTATTACTGTTATTAACTCCTGGTAAACGTAATGTTCACCTATTAGTAAATAATACTCTTGAATTCAGAATTAGAATCTATAAATCTCAATTGTATAGTTTCTTCAAGAATATATGTTCAAGCTCTTGAATTAAACACGGAGATTCTAATTAATCCAACTAGTAGAAATAAGCATAATATAATTTCTAAAAAGAAAACAACAATCTTAAAAGAACAAGTTCTCCTGTAGCTCCAAAGAACAATTTTAATTTCTCTCTTCATATTAAAATTCAAAAGAGAGAGTATGCAAAAGCTTTACAAATCGCTCACATTTTTGATCCATTTTAGTAAGAACTTGAAAAGAAGAGCAGTTTAAAAAAACAATGATTTCTATGCTTGTGTAACATTAGCTGTTTCTTGGAGATAATATTTTCATTCAATTATGTCTGCAAGCACCATAACTTCTATTGATGAACATGGATTGACATCGTTGTTTAAGCCTATAATGACCTAAATGTTACACAGAATACAATTTTCCTCTTCATTTACCTTAATTTATTCTAGTTGTAAATGCCATTGACTTTCATGATTACAGAATAAATCTCGCTGTAGGATCAATTACTACTGTTTAGAATAAAACTTCAGTTGCTTTTTAGATGATATCCACTGGGTATTCCATTTTAATTTAGCATAGCTTTTACAAAAATACTGGATCTCTAATGAATGACATACACGATTGTATCTGAGCCATTTTATATGTAATTATTGAAATTACGATAAACTTATTTTTCCTTAAAATTCATTAATTTCACCATTTAAAAATATATACATACCTAAGCATATGCTTCCAGGGCTTATTATGTAAATTACCTATTTGTTGTTAGAAACTTTTTTTTTTTTGCAAAATAAGAATGTATATTTCTATATGTCTGAAATTTTCTAATTGATTTTCTTCTCTTCCTGAGAAAGACTAAGATCATTTAATAACTTTTGTCATCACTAATTATAATTAAAATACTTTCATTGTTCCAAGTAAAATTAAAGTTAAAAAGCAAGTCAATTATCAGGAAACAACCTTACATACATCTTTCACTTAACACAAATATGAACTTACACATACATAGTATTTTAAACAAATGGTTTTCAAGCTTTTTAGTCTCCAAATCACTTTACTCTGTAAATAAATTATTGTGGAGCAAAAAGGGCTTTTGTTGATAGGGTTGATATCTATCAATATTTATCACATTAGGAATTAAAGCAGAGAAATTTTATAAAAATATGTATGCATACATTACACTAGCTTTAAAAGCAGTGGCCTAACCACATTGTCATTTTTGTGTAGCTTCTGGAAAACTATTGTTCACTGAAAAGAAAAGGCAGTTTCAAACAACTGAAACGTTCTTGAAATCTCCACACCACCAACTTGAGAATATTTGCTTTACTTTAATGTAAACAGTAGTTTTATTAAACTCTAGTTTAACTTTGAATATGAATGTCTATTAATTGTTATAGGCTATAGCATATCTATATATACTATCTCTTATAAAGTTTCAAATGACATTTTTCTTTACATAATACCTCTAAAAGCACAATATATTGCTTTAAAATCATTTGTTTTTCTTGATCGGATAAATGTGACTAAGAAGGAGGAGGAACAGCTTTTGTTAAAGAAGATACGGTTTTAAACCTCACAGAAATTTTAAATCTTACCCTCAGATGCTAAAGTGTCATTTTATTTATTTATTTATTTTTCTTTTTTTCTTTTTTTATTATACTTTAAGTTCTAGGGAACATGTGCACAACGTGCAGGTTTGTTACATATGTATACATGTGCCATGTTGGTGTGCTGCATCCATTAACTGGTCATTTACATTAGGTATATCTCCTAATGCTATCCCTCCCCCCTCCCCCACTCCATGACACGCCCCGGTGTGTAGTGTTCCCCACCCTGTGTCCAAGTGTTCTCATTGTTCAATTCCCACCTATGAGTGAGAATATGCGGTGATTGGTTTTCTGTCCTTGCGATAGTTTGCTGAGAATGATGGTTTCCAGCTTCATCCATGTCCGTACAAAAGACATGAACTCCTCCTTTTATATGGCTGCATAGTATTCCGTGGTGTATATGTGCCACATTTTCTTAATCCAGTCTATCATTGATGGACATTTGGATTGGTTCCAAGTCTTTGCTATTGTGAATAGTGCCACAATAAACTTACGTGTGCATGTGTCTTTATAGCAGCATGATTTATAATCCTTTGGGTATATACCCAGTAATGCGAAGGCTGAGTCAAATGGTATTTCTAGTTCTAGATCCTTGGGGAATCGCCACACTGTCTTCCACAATGGTTGAACTAGTTTACAGTCCCACCAACAGTGTAAAAGTGTTCCTATTTCTTCATATCCTCTTCAGCACCTGTTGTTTCCTGACTTTTTAATGATCGCCATTCTAACTGGTGTGAGATGGTATCTCATTGTGGTTTTGATTTTCATTTCTCTGATGGCCAGTGATGGTGAGCATTTTTTCATGTGTCTGTTGGCTGCATAAATGTCTTCTTTTGAGAAGTGTCTGTTCACATCCTTTGCCCACTTTGCTTAAGTGGGCTTCATCCCTGGGATGCAAGGCTGGTTCAACGTACGCAAATCAATAAATGTAATCCATCATATTAACAGAACCAAAGACAAAAACCACGTGATTATCTCAATTGATGCAGAAAAGGCCTTCGACAAAATTCAACAGCCCTTCATGCTAAAAACTCTCAATAAATTAGGTATTGATGGGACATATGTCAAAATAATAAGAGCTATTTATGACAGACCCACAGCCAATATCATACTGAATGGGCAAAAACTGGAAGCGTTCCCTTTGAAAACTGGTACAAGACAGGGATGCTGTCTCTCACTACTCCTATTCAACATAGTGTTGGAAGTTCTGGCCAGAGCAATCAGGCAGGAGAAAGAAATAAAGTGTATTCAATGAGGAAAAGAGGAAGTCAAATTGTCCCTGTTTGCAGATGACATGACTGTATATTTGGAAAACCCCATCATCTCAGCTCAAAATCTCCTTAAGCTGATAGGCAACTTCAGCAAAGTCTCAGGATACAAAATCAAATGCGCAAAAATCACAAGCATTCCTATACACCAATAACAGACAAACAGAGAGCCAAATCATGAGTGAACTCCCATTCACAATTGCTTCAAAGAGAATAAAATACCTAGGAATCCAACTTCCAAGGGATGTGAAGGACCTCTTCAAGGAGAATTACAAATCACTGCTCGATGAAATAAAAGAGGACACCAACAAATGGAAGAACATTCCATGCTCATGGATAGGAAGAATCAATATTGTGAAAATGGCCATATTGCCCAAGGTAATTTATAGATTCAATGCCATCCCCATCAAGCTACCAATGACTTTCTTCACAGAATTGGAAAAAACTACTTTAAACTTCATATGGAACCAAAAAAGAGCCCACATTGCCAAGACAATCCTAAGCCAAAAGAACAAAGCTGGAGGCATCACGCTACCTGACTTCAAACTATACTACAAGGCTACAGTAACCAAAACAGCATGGTACTGGTACCAAAACAGAGATGTAGACCAATGGAACAGAACAGAGGCCTCAAGGATAACACCACACATCTACAGCCATCTGATCTTTGACAAACCTGACAAAAACAAGAAATGGGGAGACAATTCCCTATTTAATAGATGGTGCTGGGGAAACTGGTTAGCCATATGTAGAAAGCTGAAACTGGATCCCTGCCTTACACCTTATACACAAATTAATTCAAGATGGATTAAAGACTTAAATGTCAGACCTAAAACCATAAAAACCCTAGAAGAAAACCTAGGCAATACCATTCAGGACATAGGCATGGGCAAGGACTTCATGTCTAAAACACCAAAAGCAATGGCAACAAAAGCCAAAATTGACAAATGGGATCTAATTAAACTAAAGAGCTTCTGCACAGCAAAGGAAACTACCATCAGAGTGAACAGGCAACCTACAGAATGGGAGAAAATGTTTGCAATCTACCCATCTCATAAAGCGTCATTTTAAATGCTACCATGATTATTGTTTTATCCATATTGTTTTAAAACTTTAGTTACATGCCATCAGTTGTTTGTTGACAGATATCATTTACTCAAATGTTTCTTCTGAGCAAATAAAGAAAACTTCACGTTTTAAAATGTGATTACAAATTTTCTATTAAAATTTAGATTACATACTGTTAATCATTAGCTCAATGGATAAACTGCTAGTTTTGGAGAAAAAGGAAAAATAAAACAATAATATATATTTGTATGTGTGTAATAAATATATGTAATTCCACAAATGTGTGTATATATGTATAGATATCTAGATGCAGATAGATAGATAGATATAGATAGATAATAGATAGATAGATAGATAGATGAGAGTTGTGTTTATACTAATGTAATGTAGAAAAATTAAATGCCTAACTGCTTTTCAGTAAATGTATTTCTGTTCTACCACTAGTACCCTAAGTAACTGACATTGCATTAACAATGGAATGAAATAAAAGGCTTGTTTATTGCAGGAATATCAGGATTGTCAAATTTATTGATAATAGGGATTAAAAGTAAGTTTTAGAAGGAAAAGAGCAGAGATTATGAGAATATTTAAAAGGAAACTAATCATTTAGACTGGGTGACAATTGGGCAGTGAAGAGGAAATAATATTTCAAATAATCTGATAGATGAGTAGACACTGGCCAGTGCATAGATGGAATGATCTTTCTTACAGAGAAGAAAGCTGACATCAGAGAGTATTTACATAAAGCTCACAAAGGTTGCCAATGACTAGGGTGAATATGTTCAGAGTGACATAAGAAGAGACTGCAGAGGTAAGCAGATATTAGATATCAAAGAAGTGTGGGTAATTTTTTCTCTATATTTATATTCAAAACGATGTAACACTGTTCTCCTATGACACACAAATTGTATGTGTTTTTGAACATGAAGGGTGATAAAATTATGAACTAACTGAAGATGTAAGTGCAGACTAGGAACAAGACCTATCCTAGGCAAACCAATTCATAAGCTATGTTACATATAATTGCTGTTGTCAGTGTTGTCATGACTATAATTTAATATGCCCATAGTCTTTAATTCTACTCAAATTTATAGCCTATTTGTGGGAAGGGAGTAAAATATTTATTAGGGAATTAGGAAACAGACACTGGCCGAAGTATTATAATATACAGAATATTAAATATATGTTAATTTTGTCATTTTACTCTTTTCTCAGAAAGTTGGCTTTTTCTTTTTAAGACTACAAACAAATCTAGTTTTTATTCATAAAATTCTAAAAAGGCATATTTATCAAAGTCACTTTTCCCCTGGCTTCCATGTCTGGTATACATGTATTCAGAAACATGCTTAATACATTGTTGATATCTATAATTATCCAGCTTGATCATTTTATCTAAACAGAAATAGATAAAAGTAAAATACTAACACATGCTTTCACTGCATTTGCATAAATGTCAAGTAGACCTACTAAACATCTATCAAGGCATACTCCCTTGTAAGGGTGATTATCAGAAGCTGACAAACAATGGTTTTTTAGAGCTGTGAAATTTTGACTATCTTCCTAGTTCATGTTTATTCCCTTTGAAATACATTAGTAGCTGAAGTTGTTTGTCAGTCTTGATTCTTGCCACCAGGAACACAATTTTTTTTTAAAAGAAAAACTTTATCTGAAAAAAAAATTAACAAGTTAAATTTTTTTTTAAAAAAAGACATGAAGGTCAATAACATGAATAAATAAAAGGGGGGAAGCAAAGCAATTTAAAAACTAATTTTCATGAATCATTAGGGTAAATGGCAGAGTAAGGACTTCTGGAAATTCTTTTACAAAAGCATTACTAAAACTGACAAAACAAAATATTAGAATTAACTTCTTCAGAACTCTAGAAAATTTGTCAAAGGTTTGCAGCCATTCAGGGAGTGTTTATTCAAACACACACAAAAAAAACAGCCGAGTTTTGGTAAGAACAGACAGATTCATGATGTTTTAATTTGTTCTATTCCCATATCACCCTGTCTAGCCCTATAGTAGCCATAAAAACCAACAGACCATAATTATGGTGAAGCCAATTGCCTGGCAGCCACCAATGGGAACAGAATGGAATTGCAACTACTTTTGAGACTGCCTAGAGCTAAGGAAGAAAGTAGTCAGTCAGTCAGTACAGTAATCATCTGTGAATCATCTGATACCTGGGAATGAGGGCCAATTACAGTGTAAAATTGAGATGATTAAGTGAAATTGGAGTAAAACCTTTATAGAGCTATGGGAATTAACCTAGAGCTTTCCAGACAAATAGAAAAGGAGTAATGGCCCTAAAGTGAGGAGTGCTGACATTTCCCAACAACAGCAAGTTCCAGGAAGGGAGTGGATGGGTAGTCAGGGAGTGTTAAAAGAGATCAGTGAGTTAGGTTCAGAGGTAGGAAGATAATAACAATTAACTGCTGATTTTATGTAGAAAATTGGACTAAAATACCTTGAATATATAAATATGAATGTCTTTGATTCATAAAACTTGAAATTCAATTTTTAATTGAGGTAAAATATACTATCAATTTCATATTTCTTTTGCTCTTAGCAAGCTACTGGTCATGGTTCTTTGCCTTGTGAGGTGACCTAAATATTCATTTCTGAGGAGTCTGGACCACTGGTGTCGTCCTGCCTGAACTACGTTGTTATAGGTTTTCATTGACTTTAATCATAAGACATGGTAGGATTAAGAAATATCCTAAGGTATCTCCTGTATCCCACGCATACTCCTTCTTACCTCCACTGTGTAGTAGGGGCATTATTTCCCACTGGCAATCAGTATAAATCACCCCAGTCAGTACAGTAACCCACTTCTTTGTCTGTTGATTCAGAGGCATGGGAAGCACGAAGTGGCATGGCAGCAGTTTTAACTTTTCATTCAATACAATTATTGCTGTGTCTCCTGGTGGAATATTTCTTTTTCTTTGAATCTAAGCAGAATTTTGCAAGTGGATATCTAGGGCTAATGGCACTCCCCTTTTCGCCCCTTGAGTGAACCTGTAAATCCTGGATTTGAGGGAAAGTAAATAGCATTATAGATTGGGTGCTGATTTGGGTCATATACAAACTCCTGAAGGACTTTTTCCCACCCTGCAAAGTATCACCACTTACACAGCAATGTAAGTTAGTCTTCACAAGGCTGTACCACTATTCTATCAAGTCAGCTGTTTCAGAATAATGAGGAACATGAAAAGGACAGTGAACTCCATGAGTATGAACCTATTGCTGTACTTCATTTGCATGTCTCAGGGTCCTGCCCACAGAGAGGGTTTTCCTTCACTGGTATCCATTAGGAATATCCTGGAAATGAGTTGCAACTGTCCATACAGGTAATCTTCTCTATATCATGGCCAATATTAGGTCTTCAAATCCATTGCTTTTTTCATTTATTTAGGTTATCTTTAGTTTCTTTGAGAAGTAGTGTGTAGTTTAAATGTAAAGATCTTATACAAATTTTACTTCATTCTTATGTAATCAATTTGTTAAAATTGATATTTTTCAGATTTTATTCTCCAATTATAAAAAAAATTTATATTAACTATTTATTTTGCTATCTTGCAAAATTTATTTCATGGTACCACTTTTTTTTGTAAACAACTTAAGATTTGTTCATGTTTAGAATAATGACACATTTGAATAAATACTTTTTTGGTCTTTCTAATTGTTCCAGTTTTTTCTTTTATTTATTGCATTATTACTCTGGGTAGCCTGCCTGGTTTAATGTTGAGTAGGAGTACTGAAGGCAGACATTTGTTGTTTTTGATTTTTACTTGGTTTTGAAGTTAATGTGAAAGTACTTAATATTTTATCATTAAATATAGCATTCATTCTAGGCTTTTAGTAAACATTCCTTGAAATTCTGGGGGAGTTCTGTTTCTAATTGGTTGTGAGTTTTGTTTTGTTTTGCAATGTTACGTTCTGTCAAATGTTATTTATACATCTATAAAAATAATTATATATTTATTCCCCTTGAGTTTCTTAATATAGTAAATAAACTTGATTAATTTTCAAATGTTATAACAACCTCAATTACCTTTTATGACCCTTTTATATATTGATAAATTTAAATTTGCAATGATTTTTTAAAAATTTTCCCTATATTTATGATAAATATTATTTTTTAATTTTATTTCCTTGGAACATTTTTGTCAAGGTTTGGCAAGTGAAATATACTGAGCCCAGCAAATAATTTTATTTTATTTTATTTTATTTTATTTTATTTTATTTTATTATTATTATACTTTAAGTTTTAGGGTACATGTGCACAATGTGCAGGTTAGTTACATATGTATACATGTGCCATGCTGGTGTGCTGCACCCCTTAACTCATCATTTAGCATTAGGTATATCTCCTAATGCTATCCCTCCCCCTCCCCCCACCCCACAACAGTCCCCGGTGTGTGATGTTCCCCTTCCTGTATCCATGTGTTCTCATTGTTCAATTCCCACCTATGAGTAAGAACATGCGGTGTTTGGTTTTTTGTCCTTGCGATAGTTTACTGAGAATGATGATTTCCAATTTCATCCATGTCCCTACAAAGGACATGAACTCATCATTTTTTATAGCTGCATAGTATTCCATGGTGTATATGTGCCACATTTTCTTAATCCAGTCTATCGTTGTTGGACATTTGGGTTGGTTCCAAGTCTTTGCTATTGTGAACAGTGCCACAATAAACATAAGTGTGCATGTGTCTTTATAGCAGCATGATTTATAGTCCTTTGGGTATATACCCAGTAATGGGATTGCTGGGTCAAATGGTATTTCTAGTTCTAGATCCCTGGGGAATTGCCACAATGACTTCCACAAGGGTTGAACTAGTTTACAGTCCCACCAACAGTGTAAAAGTGTTCCTATTTCTCCACATCCTCTCCAGCACCTGTTGTTTCCTGACTTTTTAATGATTGCCATTTTAACTGGTGTGAGATGGTATCTCATTGTGGTTTTGATTTGCATTTCTCTGATGGCCAGTGAAGATGCGCATTGTTTCATGTGCTTTTCGGCTGCATAAATGTCTTCTTTTGAGAAGTGTTTGTTCATGTCCTTCGCCCACTTTTTGATGGGGTTGTTTGCTTTTTTCTTGTAAATTTGTTTGAGTTCATTGTAGATTCTGGATATTAGCCCTTTGTCAGATGAGTAGGTTGCGAAAATTTTCTCCCATTTTGTAGGTTGCCTGTTCACTCTGATGGTAGTTTCTTTTGCTGTGCAGAAGCTCTTTAGTTTAATTAGATCCCATTTGTCAATTTTGGCTTTTGTTGCCATTCCAGATTCATAAAGCAAGTCCTGAGTAACCTACAAAGACACTTAGCCTCCCACACAATAATAACGGGAGACTTTAACACCCCACTGTCAACATTAGACAGATCAATGAGACAGAAAGTTAACAAGGATACCCAGGAATTGAACTCAGCTCTGCACCAAGCGGACCTAAAAGACATCTACAGAACTCTCCACCCCAAATCAACAGAATATACATTTTTTTCAGCACCACACCACACCTATTCCAAAATTGACCAGATAGTTGGAAGTAAAGCTCTCCTCCGCAAATGTAAAAGAACAGAAATTATAACAAACTGTCTCTCACAACACAGTGCAATCAAACTAGAACTCAGGATTAAGAAAATCACTCAAAACCGCTCAACTACATGGAACCTGAACAACCTGCTCCTGAATGACTACTGGGTACATAATGAAATGAAGGCAGAAATGAAGATGTTCTTTGAAACCAACAAGAACAAAGACACAACATACCAGTATCTCTGGGACGCATTCAAAGCAGTGTGTAGAGGGAAATTTATAGCACTAAATGCCCACAAGAGAAAGCAGGAAAGATCCAAAATTGACACCCTAACATCACAATTAAAAGAACTAGAAAAGCAAGAGCAAACACATTCAAAAGCTAGCAGAAGGCAAGAAATAACTAATATCAGAGCAGAACTGAAGGAAATAGAGACACAAAAACCCTCCAAAAAATTAATGAATCCAGGAGCTGGTTTTTTGAAAGGATCAACAAAATTGATAGACTGCTAGCAAGACTAATAAAGAAGAAAAGAGAGAAGAATCAAATAGATGCAATAAAAAATGATAAAGGGGATATCACCACCGATCCCACAGAAATACAAACTACCATCAGAGAATACTACAAACACCTCTACACAAATAAACTAGAAAATCTAGAAGAAATGGATAAATTCTTCGACACATACACCCTCCCAAGAATAAAGCAGGAAGAAGTTGCAATCTCTTGTAGATAATGCTTCACCTGATTTGCTTTTTCCAGTAATTCAGAACATATTATTGCAGCAGTAAGACCTGCTGAGGCAGTTTCTTCTGCAAGTTTTTTGTTTGTTTGTTTCACAGAGCTCTGTTCTTTTGAAGTTTTTGGGTTTTTTTATTTTTATTTTTTAGCACATTCTGTCTCTCTTTAAGTGCAATGCACTTTATTCCTTGTTTCACTTTCACATAACTTAGTAAAACGCTAGAACAATTTCAGATTATGAATATTATTTTAGATTAACATTTATATTATCAAACTGATTACATACCTATATACTCCAAATGAAACTTAATCTAGAATCACCCCATTATTATTATAAGTAGAACTAAAATTATGGTTTCCCTGATTCGATTTATGAGAAAAAATTTCAGACAAATCATTTAAAAATACATGTTTTACTGAATGGGCAAAAGCTGGAAGAATTTCCCTTGAAAACCAGCACAAGACAAAGATGCCCTATGTCACCACTCCAGTGCAATATAATATTGGAAGTTCTGGCCAGTGAAATCAGGACAGAGGAAGAAATAAAGGGTATTCAAACAGAAAGAGAGGAAGTCAAATTATCTTTGTTTGCAGATGACATGAACCTATATCTAGAAAACCATATCGTCTTAGCCCAAAAGCTTCTTAAGCTGATAAGCAACTTCAGCAAAGTCTCAGGATACAAAATCAATGTGCAAAAATTGCTAGCATTCCTATCCAGCAACAGGCAAGCTGAGAGCCAAATCACTAATGAAATCCCATTCACAATTGCTAAAGAAAGAATAAAATGCCTAGAAATACAGCTAACAAGGGAACTGAAGGACCTCTTCAAGGAGAACTACAAACCACTGCTCAAACAAATCAGATAGAACATATACAGGTGGAAAAATATTGCATGTTCATGGATGGGAAGGCTCTACATTGGGAAAATGGATATACTGCCCAAAGTAGTTTATAGTTCAATGCTATCCCCATTAAACTACCACTGACATTATTCACAGAATAATGGATTCCCTGTTTAATAAATGGTGCTGGGATAACTGGCTAGCTATATGCAGAAAATTGAAACTGGACCCTTTCCTTACACCACATACAAAAATCAACTCAAGATGGATGAAAAACTGAAATGTAAAATCCAAAACTATAAAAACCCTAGAAAAAAATTGTAGGCAATACCATTCAGGATGTAGGCACAGGCAAAGATTTCATGACAAAAATACCAAAAGCAATTGCGAAAACTGATAAATGTGATCTAATTCAACTGAAGAGCTTCTGCACAGCAAAAGAAGCTGGCATCAGAGTGAACAGACAACCTACAGAATGGGAGACAATTTTTGCAATCTATCCATCTGACAAAGGTATAATATCCAGAGTCTATAAGGAACTCAAAAAATTTGCAAGAGAAAAAAAAACACTAAAAAGTAGGCAAAGGACACGAACAGACACGTCTCAAAAGAATGCATGCTTGCAACTAACAAATGTGAAAAAAAAGCTCAACATCACTGATCGTTAGAGAAATGCAATTCAAAACCAAATGTGATACCACCTCATGACAGTCAGAATGGCTATTACTAAAAAGTGAAAAAAACAACAGATGCCGGAGAGGATACAGAGACAAAAAAATGCTTTTGCACTGTTGGTGCGAGGGCAAATTAGTTCTAGCATTGTGGATGACAGTCTGGCGATTGCTCGAAGACCTAGAGGCAGAAATACCATTTGACCCAGCAATCACATTACTGAGTATATAACCAAAGGAATATAAAACATTCTGTTATAAGGATACTTGCATGCATATGTTCATTGCAGCACTATTCACAATAGCAAAGACATGGAATCAACCTAAATAAATGCCTATCAATGTTAGACTGGATGAAGAAAATGTGTTACATATATACCATGGAATACTATACAGCCATAAAAAGGAATGAAATTATTTTCTTTTCAGGGACATGGATGGATTTGGAAGCCATTATCCTCATCAAACTAATGCAGGAACAGAAAACCAAACACCACGTGTTATCATTCATAAGTGGGAGCTGAATGATGCGAATACATGGACACACTGCGGAGAATAACACACACTGGGCCTGTCGAGAGGTGGGGTGAAGGGAGGGAGAGCATCAAGAAGAATAGCTAATGGATGCTGGGCTTAATACCTAGGTGATGGGATGATCTTTACAGCAAAACACCATAACATACATTTACCTATGTAACAAACCTGCACATCCTGAACATGTACACCTGAACTTAAAAGTTGAAGAAAAAAGTGCAGGTTTTAAAATTTAATAGGCAAATCTAAATTAATATTATTATACAACTATGGTGGCTGAAATTGATTTTTGTGGTATTCAGACTGCTTAATAAACCTGATAACAACCACATTACTAATGTTTAAAAGGATGGTATTTGTTAAGATTCTTAATGGTTTACCTTGCACAAAGTATAGAGATACATCTAATTAATTATTTCTAGTTTGTATAGAAATTAAAAAGTTCTCAAAATATTAAACATAAGGAGTTGCACTATGATAATATATGGAAATTGGTGTATGTTTTTTAACTGTGAACTTAGTCATTAAATTATTTTGGATTTATTGTAGGCTACAGTATCGCAATAAAATTAGAGATAGTCTCTAGATAAGAAGGCTCATTTCTATAATAAAATAGGTGACAACACACAAAAAACAACAAAAACACAAGGCTGCTAAACATTTTCATCTAGATGTTCTATATGTAACTCAGCACATTTGAAGTTTAATTTATCGCAGACCTCCTCAATCTGTTCTTCCTAATATATGTCTGATTTCAGTAAATGAGACTATTTGCCATCCTGTTGCCAAAGTCACAGATATGATTCTCATTTTTTCATTTCTCATATCTCATTTCAAAGGAGCTAAAACTCCTGTTTTATATTTCCTGATTACTTTTCTGAAGTAGGCACTTCTTCCCTACTGCTATCACCTGGTGCTGGATTCCGCTAATTGTTGTGATAACTTCTTAGTTGTGCTCTCTGCCTTCCATTTTGTCTCTGTCTCCATTTCACTTCCATAAGGGTAATATCATTCTAAGGAACTCTAGTGGCTTTATGGGAATTTCTGTGTAAGATTGGTTTGATGTGAAGCTACGCTTGTATTATTTGTTTGTAATAAGATTTTGAAACCATTATTTTATTAAATGAAGAGAAAAATTTGAGATGGGTAAACGGCTATTAAATTCCTATGAGATGTCCCTTGGAGCCATATCTACAAAAAAAAAAAAAACACCTTTCATCATAACTACCTCCTGTTTAAATCCCTTCAGTGAGGCTCCATTATTCTCCCTGCAGCATGCTTTAGAAGACCCTTTGAGATTTGACACCTCCTTCAAAGTCTTATCTTCCTAATACTCTTTTGATTGTTCTGTCTGCATTAGCCAAATATAGCGCTTTCATAACTCTCAATAGGACAGAGCCTTTGAACATCATCTTCTGTGCCTATAACATACTCCTAAAATATCTGGCTAATTCCCCTGTGTATTTAGGAGGGCATTGTGTGTAATGTCAAAGGAGCAGACAATGATGGCAAACTGGGAGGAACTGGATTAAACCTCTAACACTCAACTGTGGTGTAAACTTTACTAAATCTTTACTTGTACCCATATATAAAGAGACTTTGCATTAAGATGAGCCCAAAGTGTTTCCATGAAAATGAAACTTTTGTACATATTTAACAATAAGGATTACTTTAAATGCCTGCTTAAATTATTTAAATTTTTATATAAAATACATTCATATTTCAATTTATGAATAACCTTTTCTACCTTATATGTATTTTTCATACATTTATTTTTATAAAACTCTTTATATGACCATTTCTCATAACCTCCAAGATGCCCTTTGGAGCCACATATGATACTCTTTTGTTCTGTTCTGAGTACATCTTACCTGTGTTGTGATGCTGTTTGAGGTTCAAAACTTTTAAAATTAATGTATAATGTTGTAATTGGAAAGTTTATTTTAAATCTCAATAAAAGTTTGTCTAAAACAAATTATTACCATATTTATTGTCTTCATGGATCAATAATATTTGTGAAGACATTGTAGATAAAATTATACCTTTATTAGATGATCCTCTGAGGTGGGAGCTTAGCATGTTGCACTTTTTGCGTAACACTTCTGAGACTTAAACTTTGCATATAATTTGTATGAATTAGATTTTAAATACATTGGTCAGCTGCTGAATCTTGTTAAAATGTACTCCCAGCAGCTAATGTGGTATATATCACACGATAGTACCTAATCAATACATATATTTTTTGACATTTTGAAGAAGTTGTTGGATCTGGTATGTATTACTTGGGTAGAGCCAATCATTTCTGCTGAAAATTAGTGTTGGTATATAAAAATAAGAGATTCCCAGTTATTTAGCCTCAGCAAACTGCCCTATTCTGATATGTGTGAGACAGATAGTTTTATATAAACTATAGTTATTTACCCAATGCACATGCTACCATTCCTTACTAACAGACTGTCACATTTTGAAATAAGTCTAGAAGAATATGTGGGGAGTAATGTCTGATAAATTAGACTCCAGCAACATGTCCTTGGTGAAAATGAGCAAGACAACAGTTAAATAAGCTCTGTTAACAACAGTTGGAGGGATTAATAGCAGCAACATCTAAGCAACCTTCCGAACGCTAGCTTCATAAAATTTTTACCTGACTTTCTTCTCCTCAAGACTTTCTTCTAAACCTAAAGTTAGTATTCCCGCCTTTAGCTCATCCATTACAGCACTCTGGATATATAACCACTTGAAACTGTTTTGTGTGATTATTTCTAAATCTTTTTATGCCTATTTTTCTCCTGCAAATCATATATTGATAGTTCATTTTAAACGTCTGATACTGTTTATGCTATTCAGGAATTTTTGTTTTGTACTTAACAAATAATCTAGAAATTATCTAGGTAGCTTTCTATGACTGTGTGTGTGTGTGTGTGCATGTGTGTGAGTGTGCGCGCATGCATACATGGGTGCATGTCTTTTTGCTTAGGTATGGCATCACAATTTATAGTATGGTACATAAATTACTTACTGGTGCTCAACCATTTAACATTAAAATTAAATATTCTAAATACACATTCATAGACGTTGAAGTTTGGAGTTAAAGTATATGAATTTTAAGCACATAAAAACTTGGCCGGACATGACTGTGCACACCTCTGGTCCCAGCCACTCGGGAGGCTGAGGTTGAGCCCAGGAGGTCAAAGCTGCAGCGAGCAGTGATCCCATCACTCCACTCCAGCCTGGGCAACAGAGCAAGACCCCGTTTCAATAAAAGAATAAAAGAGAGAGAGAGAGAACTGACAACTTGCCAACCAACAATTTTGAAACAAATCTGTTAGATCATTTGTTTATCAAGTATTTGACATTATTCTTGTCCACTCAGGAAAAAAAACAGGTCTTAACAACCTTTATTTTAGCAAAAAAAAAAAAAAAAAAAAAAAGCTTCTTTGATTAGGAAATAAAATTTCCTAAATAGAATTTCTATTTTCCACAATTTACATTTATCTCTTTGTGTGCTGTGTGCTCTGCCTTTCTTATTAAAAACGCTTCTACAGAAGCATGGCTACCCTTTGCTGTCTGTTCATATTTAGGATAGGGAAATGAATAACAAATTGGAAGATTTATGTATGTGTGCCAGAGTCTTTCAACAATTGACTTCACTGATAGATCTTTTAGCAGGCTATTTTTAAAAATACACATATTTTATGTCTTTTTAAAAAATAATTTCAACTTTTATTTTATAGTCAGCGGTTACATGTGCAGCTTCTTTTATGTGGGTACTTCGTGTAATGCTGATGTGTGGGGTACAATTGAGCCTTTCACCCAAGTAATGAGCATAGTACACAATGGTTAGTTTTTCAGCCCTTGCTCTTCTCCTTCCCTCCACCGTCTAGTAGTACTCAGTGTGTATTGTTGCTATATTTGTCCATGTTTACCCAATGTTTTGGTTTCATACATAAGTTAGAACATGTGGCATTTGATTTTCTGTTCCTGTATTTATTGGTTTAGGATAATGGACTCTAGCTGCATCCATATTGCTGCAAAGGATATGATTTCATTCATTATTATAACTGCACAATATCTCATGGTGTGTATGTACCACATTTTCTTTATCCAATGTACCATTAATGAGCTCCTAGGTTGATTCTGTGTCTTTGCTGTGGTGGGCAGTGCTACAATGAACATACAACTGAATTCGTCTTTTTGGTAGAATGATTTATGTTCTTCTGGGTATATATTCAATAATAAGATTACTGGTAGTGCTATTCTAGGTATATATTCAATACTGGTAGTAGTTCTGTTTTAGGTTCTATGAGAAATCACTAAACTGCTTTCCACAATGGCTTACCTAACTTACACTCCCACCAACAATATGTAAGCCTTCCCTTTCCTCCTCAGCCTTGCCAGCATCTGCTGTCTTTAACTTTTTAATAATAGGTATTCTGACACCTGTAAGATGGTATCTTATTGTGGTTTTAATTTGCATTTTTCTGAATGTTAGTGATGAGCATTTTTTCACTGCTTGTAAGCCACCTGTATATCTTCTTTTGAGAAGTGTCTGTTCATGTCCTTTGACCAATTTTAATGGGATTATTTGTTTTTTTCCTATTGAAGTGTTTAAGTTTCTTATAGATTCTACATGTTAGATCTTTGTCAAATGCATTATTTGTGAATATTTTCTCCCATCCAGTAGGTTCCCTGTTTACTCTATTGATAGTTTCTTTTGCTGGGCAGGTATTCTTTAGTTAATTAGGTCCAATTTTTCAATTATCATTTTTGTTGAAATTGCTTTTGAGGACTTACTCATAAATTATTTTCCAAGTCTGCTATTATTTGAAGTATATACTTTAACATAGTCTAAGTTATGCTATGGTAGGCAACCAAAAACTTCAGAATTTGAATGTCTTTAGGCAACTACATGTCTACTATATATTAAGAGTTGTCTTTTTCATCTTATTGTCACTCAATGATCATGCTACCTGAGGCTCTTTTATCTGATATACATCTCGACATAGCAGCAGGGAGAGGCAAACATACAGAGAATCACTGCTGGATCTTAAATGCATCTATATCTGAATAAGAAAGATTATTTCAGTTAATGTGTCATTGAGTCTCATGACCACAACTAACTTTGAGGAGGTAAAAACATGTAATCCTCCTAATGCACAGAAGTACTTCTGAGCAGTGCTAATACTTTCCATAATTATGCCATATTCATTTGGGCTTCTCTCTCAGCTTATTAGACTACCCATAGAACAACCTCCTATGATTCTATTTTCAGCATGTATACTCAACCTTTAATAAAATACAATTTAATACTAACTTTTTTTAAAGAAAAGAAGATACACTTAACAATAATACTCCAGCATTAAATATTCTAATATCATATTCTTTTTAAAAATGTAATTTCAAGTAGCAATTAAACTAATCAAAATTCAGAATATTAGAACATTCTTTAAGGTTTAATATTTTGCTAATTTGTTCAGTGTCTTAAAGGCAACATATAAGATTAACAGACATCTGTAATAACTTTTAGTTTTTTCTATCAGAAATTTGAGGATTTTTGAGTTACTCCTTTCCAGGCAATTTAACAAGAAGGCTTGGATATACTTTATCAAATTATTTTTAATTAATCTTGGCCACTACATCAATTGCTTTTTAGGGAAGAAGAGATGTTAGATAGTACACTAAAATATTATAATGTTATTAGATCACATTTTAGATTTCAAGTAGCTAAGGAACAGTGATTCCTTTGTAAACAGAAGAATCATACCTGGATTATGGCTTAACAGCATCATTTTGGTTGTTTTGTAGAGAACAAAGTGTATAATAACAATATGAGATTGTGGAGACATGTTAGAAAGGTACTGAAATAATACAGAAGATAAATGATAGCAATTTGGACAAGGGCAGCGTTAGTGATAGAAAGTGGCCACATTCTAGACAGTTGCTGTTGGTAGGTTCAAGTAGATCCGCAGATATATTTGGATGAATACATTAGGAAATTCAAGGATTTTTCTTTTTTAATTTTTAAGTTTTTAAAAATTTTTTTCTGGGTACATTATTAGGTGTATATATATATATATATATATATATTTATGGGGTATATGAGACATTTTGATATAGGCAGGCAATGTGAAATAAGTGTATCATGGAGAGTGGGATAGCCCCTCAAGTATTTATTCTTTGAGTTACAAACAATCCTATTACACTTTTGAATTTAGTTATTTTAAAATGTACAATTAAGTTATTACTGACTATGATTACCCGATTGTACTGTTGAATAGTAGGTCTTATTCATTATTTCTAATTATTTTGTGTACCGATTAAGCATCCCATCTTCCCCCAACCCTTCTATTACCCTTCCTGTCCTCTGGTCACCATTCTCTACTCTCTATGTCTATCAGTACAATTGTTTTGATTTTTAGATCTCACAAATAAATGAGAACATGCGATGTTTATCTTTCTTTGCCTGGCTTATTTCACTTAACTTGTTCTCCATTTCTATCCATGTTGTTGCAAATGACAGGATCTCATTCTTTTTATGGCTGAACAGTACTTCATTGTGTATATGTAACACATTTTCTTTACCCATTCATCTATTGATGGACACTTAGGTTGCTTTCGAATCTTAGCTATTATAAACAGTGCGTAAGAAAAATAGAAATGCAGGTATTTCTTTGATATACTGATTTTTAAACGTTTCTTTTCTACTTATGAAGGAATGGATTTATAAATAATTTATTTTTATTTATTGTAATTAGAATGTAGGAACATATTTGAGAGAATCAAAAGCAGATGACTAATATAGAGGTAGTTAGATAAGAACGGATTCAGGAAGAATTTGAAACAAGAAATATACATTTGGGAGATATCGGCATAATAAAGGTATTTTACCTAGGAAGCAAATAGAGAAGAAGAACATTTCTAGGATAATGTCTTGGAGAGAACTTATACTTTCAGGTTAAGAAGAGGAGAATCCAGCAAGGGATAAATATCATCAAAAGGATTTGTGTAATGATTAAATCTAAATTCCTGAAGAATGAATAGATGTGGAATTGCTCCAAATCCCTATCTAATATTGATTTCTAATCGGACCAGTTGTTTACTAAGAAAGAGGGAAATGAATGTTTTACATACTTATGACAGCATTATATCTCATCTCATCCCTAGTTCTGAGTAGGTGCAACATTCTCCGGACATATTTTGAATTTTCCCTTCTCTATCATTTAATTTTCTTTTCTCTGCCTTATTTTTCCCTCCAACCAAGGTGGTAACAAGATTTAAACAGACAGAAAAAATTTAGGTGTTGAGGATTCATTGAACAGGGAGAAATACTCCACTGTGACCTTCAGGCTTTTCAGTTTTTTTTATTTTTTGCACCACAACTATGTCTCCTCTAACCTTAATGATAAAACATATAAATTAAATGAACATTAGTTATATGCAAATATTTATCAGTTAAATTCTGCTAAATTGGATATATGAATTTCAAGGTACATTTGTAGGCATAACTTAACTAAGAATTTATCTAAATATTTTGAATAATTTCAGTCAAAGCTCAACATTTTGTTGACTAGTAAGTGGGAAGTGCAATAAAGGTAACAAAACTATCAAGATAACAGTCTCAACTTTAATGTAATTTGAAATAAGTAGATAACAGATGTGACAAAATCAGTTTGATATATTTGTGTTACATCTAAAAGTTATGTAATATTTGTTTCATACCCACATGGTAAAATTATAACCACTTTGGTAAACAAGGCTTTTCAATATTTTGTTAATTACTTGATGGTCACCTAAGAAAAGACTTATATGGGCCTGTGTAAGAAATGTGGAAAAGAAATATTTGGAAGAGGATTCTCTAAGAGATTATTGTGAAACATTACAAACACAATGAAGATTCATTTTTAATTTTAAACATTTTAATCAGTTAAAACCCTTTTGTAAATCTTAAACATATTCCATAAATTCTGAAATTGCTGTCTGAACTGTTGATTAAGAGATAAAATTGCTTGTCAATTTGAATATAGGTATCTGAAGTATTGAACACTAGGAAAATATGACAAGTAAAATGTAAACAGCTCTATAAACTAGATGTCTGGTAAAATTGTGATAATCAATTTTACTATTTTTGGACTTGAAAGATAAATAAATCTAAAATGGAAATTTTTACAGATTTTGCTTTAAGTCTTGGTGTGTGTGTGTGAGTTAAATGGTAGATTTCATTAAATGTCCATGTACTTCAATTTGAAATTATGTAATATTCTGGGCTTTATGAAGACACTTAAGAGAATTTAGAGTATACTTGCTGATAGCCACCAAACACTTTCCCAATAAAACTGGAAATACCTTTTAAAATTATTATTGAGGATCTCTAGGTTGTAGAATTCTCTCTTTGCCTTGACCTAAAGTAAACTGGTGTTCTGATTATGAGAGAAATATAAAACACAATTAAATTCAATTAAATAAAATACATTTTTATGTTTTGTTTTTTAACTTAACTATGAACTGTCTTTGAAAGACTTGGTCTCTTTCGCAAATTCTTTTTAGTAAAATTCTACATGTAAAATATGGTACACTTTTTAGAAATTCTTCTAACTCAAACCTCAAATTCTAGTATGGGTTATTGATTCATCTTTTCTCTCAATCTTGCATGTCTAAAATGGTATTACAATGTTCTCTATCAAAATTTAAACTACAGATAATTTACCTGTATACATAACAACTTCTATATAATAAGATGCATATACATATATATGATATACATACAAACAGAAGCACACACACACATATAAATGTGTATATAGCCATGCATCACTTAACGATGAGGATATATTCTGAGTCATATAAAGTTAGATGATTTTGTCATTGTGCAAACATCATAAAGTGTACTTACACAAACCTAGATGTTATAGCCTACTACACACCTAGGTTAAATGGTATAGGCTATTGCTCTTAGGCTACAAACCTCTATGGCATGTTACTGTACTGAAAACTGTAGGCAATTGTAACACAATGGCATTTGTTTATCTAAACATATTTAAACGTGGAAACATCATAGTAAATATACAATATCATAGTTTTAAGGGACACAGTCTACATGTGGCCCCTTATTGACTGAAACATTGTTATGAGCTGCATGACTGTTTATAGACATGACTGTTTATATATATATAAACATATATATGTTTATATATAATATATAAACATATATATGTTATATATGAATATATAAAATATATATGTTATATATGCAATATATATAACATATATAAACATATATATACATATATAAACATATATAAAGCATATATATAAACATTAACCCATCCATGTACACATTCACATTTTATTTCCAGCACACATATACACACACACACACACACACACACACACACACACATTTTATTTACTTTCCAACTGTATATTTACTTTTATTAGGTATCTGTGTTAAGGATCCTTGCCCATTTTTTAGTCAGGTTGTTTGTTCCCTCTTTGCTGAGTTTTAAGAGTTCTTAGTATAATATACTTTGGATAACAGTCCTTTATCAGAAACTTATCTTGCAAATATATTCTCCCAATTGGTGGCTTTATTTTCATTATTTTTAACAGAGAAGAAATTTTAATGAAAACCAGCTTATCAATTCTTTCTTTCATGTATTGTGTATTTTATGTTATTTCTAAAAATTAATCACCAAACAAAGCCATTTACATTTTCTTCTATGTTGTCTTCTAGAAGTTTAATAGTTTTGTGTTTTACATTTAAGTCTGTGATCCACTTTAAGTTAATTTTTATGTGTGGTATATATTTTAAAGAAAGAAGGAATAAGGTATTTTGACTAAAGAAATGGTATGGTCACCACCAAAGTAATATTCTGCGTTTTGCTAATTCACAGTGTAACACAAAAATAATAAAATAATTACAAGGGACTTCTGTTCATGAGTAGTTTTCCTTATACATATCAGGCAATGTAGAACAGTAGGATTTAAGAGTACATAGTCAGTACTATTTGTTTGCCACGTAATTTCCATTCCCCATGAATACACGTGCACTCAAATATATTAAATATATATGTATACATTTTATATATATGAATCTTAAACATAATATGTACCCATTATTCATTTTATAGCTTCATTAACACCATCATCTTCATTAATATTATTATTCCACTTGATATTCAGCTGACTTTTAATTGTCTGAGCATAGAGTGACTTAAATTGGTCAACATGGATTAAAGTGTATGGCTTTATTACTTGAATAAGTTTCTGTCCATTCTGATGCAGGACAGGTGAGCTCCCAATTGGAGCTTATCCCAGGAAGTTTCTTTGCTTCACCCAGGAAATAATTCAAAGGTGAGCTGATAGAAGAAAACAGCCTAAATGAAATGGCAGTGTTACAGCTCAGGCTGTGTTATGACCCTCTGACTCCTCCTACAGAGCAGGACTACCCCATGGGCAGTATGCAGAGAGTAGCAGCTCAGGGCAGTTCTGCAGTCATATTTATACTTGTTTTTAATTACATGCAGATTAAAGAGAGGTTTATGTAGAAATTTCTAGGAAAAGCGTAACTTCTGGGCCATTGGTCATTGTCATTGGAAAGGGGCAGTAACTCCTGAGTGTTACCATGGCAATGGTAAACTGACTTGGCACACTGGTGGGCATGTCTTATGGAAAGCTGCTTCTGCCCCATTTCTGTTTTAGCTAGTCCTCAGTTTGGTTCCTTGTTCGAGCCCCATCTACAGAGTCAAGTCCCACCTCCTACCTCAATTCCACTGGATGAACAAAAGGAATATTTCCGCAGGTGCTGCCTGCAGCTCAAATATCTTGTGACCAAAAGAGGAACAAGCTGAGCTGCCATTTCTAGGAGGGCATAGTGAAAATACGGAAAGTATCTCAATCTTTGATGACACTGTTTAGTTGCTAAATTAACCAAGTATGAGTCCCCTCCTCCCTCTCCCTCCTCACCCCTAGATTTTTGTTATGTGGGATAATAAATCCCCTTACTGTTTTAGCTGGATAGAGTCAGAAATTACATTAATTACATTCAAACTCTCCCTGGTACTGAGACAAAGTTTTAAGTACTAGATTTTTCTCTTATAATCTGTGTGACCTTATTAAAATTATTAATGTTATTGGGGTTTGGTTTACTCAACTGTAAAGTTATTTGGGTGACACATTCCAACACAAAATCATGTTATGTTTCCTGTAGACCCGATGATCAAATTTAGTTTATAAAAATCTGAGTATGCATAGCAGAGGATTTTTTGTGTGACTCATTCTGGCAATTTATGATGCAAATTATAGATTTTTCCTCTATTCCCCAGAATCTAATATAGTAGGATGTTCTTAATTCTTACAGTTCCTCAAGTTCCTGAGGGCGGAGACTCCATGTGAAATGATTCTAGTTATAATAGTCACTTCTCTTTGGTTGAAGTAACTGTTAATTAAGAGACCATCAAACTCACATGTTTCTCTCAATAGCCTACCTTTGTATATTCAAAGCGGTTGATGAGCCTGCAGGATATAAAAAAATGCTGAAGGAATCATGGTTTTCCTTGATATCTAAGAACAGATGTGCATGATGTCTGTCTAGGGTGAAATGTAAATCTGGATAATTATATATTACACCTGCCTATTTTTCTCCCTGAAGCATTCTCAATTAGGTTTTGGAGAGTACTGCCCACAATCACAAAGTCACCATCTGCTCTTTTAAACAACTATACTAATTTTGCTAAACGAAATGGAGCTTATATAATGGGTTTGCATTATAATTTATTTAATTTTTCAGTTTAAATCAAGAGGAGCAGAGCTATTGAACTTGCTCAGTTTTGTCTTTTGTTTTCTTGTAAAGATGACCCTGCTTTTCCTATATTAGCTTAGCTGAAGGATTATAAGACATTCTGTCTGAGTGTTCGCTTTTCTCATCAATGTGACTTACATCTGTCGACCTTTGAAGACATATCATTTAAAAAGAATCTGCTCAAGGATAAAACCCATAATAAAGATACAAGATAGACATGTTAGGGATAAAACAAAAAGCTCCATAAAATGTTAACTGACCATAAATATAACACACATATAAAGTCTACTTGTTTTGACCCTCAGACATGCTCAGAGAGAAAAACAAAAAGGGCAAGTCATAACTCTCATAAGAATCATGTATGCTTAAAAGCAATATTTCTCCCTTGCTATGGAAGGAATATAGTAGTAATAATAATACCAGCAACAACAAAAACAATAAGCAATTGCTCCTACCTTGTTGATTAGAAAATTATTTTAACAAAATTTTAAGTTAACATATTCCATTAAAAAATTTTCCTTGATCATTGTGGAAGGATGACCGACAAATTTAAATTAAATATATTTATGTTTATCTAAATATTTTAAATCCTTTAAATATTAAATATCTTAATCTTTCTCAAAATATTTTAAATATTAAAATACCTAATATTTTAGCATTGTTTTCATGGCCTTGCAGTCTTACCTTTCTTCTATATTTTGGTAAATTTTTTTGCCGTCAATCCTCAGCCTTTTCACGATTCAGGGATGCAACATATAATACATTATTTCATCTTTGTTTCTATTCTCTATCCATTTCTCATCAGACTTTATCTATTCAAAGAAGACTTCTCTACTACTCAATTTATCATTTTGAATCGTTAGGAATATTTTTCAATGCTTAAGGAATTGTGTCTAAATTTGTGTGCCTATATCCACATCTCATAAATACATTTAACATCTTTCAGATCAGATGCTGTTGTGTACTCATATTTAAGTCACCAGAACCTTTTAATAAGTACCTGAACATATTTATGATACTGAGTTATTCCCTTTGAAAACTGGCACAAGACAGGGATGCCCTCTCTCACCACTCCTATTCAACATAGTGTTGGAAATTCTGGCCAGGACAATCAGGCAAGAGAAAGAAATAAAGGGTATTCAATGAGGAAAAGAGGAAGTCAAATTGTACCTGTTTGCAGATGACATGATTGTATATTTAGAAAACCCCATCAGCTTAGCCCCAAATCTCCTTAAGCTGATAAGCAAATTCAGCAAAGTCTCAGGATACAAAATCAATGTGCAAAAATCACAAGCATTCCTACACACCAATAACAGACAAGCAGAAAGCCAAATCATGAGTGAACTCCCATTCACAATTGCTATAAAAAGAATAAAATACCTAGGAATCCAACTTACAAGGGATGTGAAGGACCTTTTCAAGGAGAACTACAAACCACTGCTCAACAAAATAAAAGAGGACACCAACAAATGGAAGAACATTCCATGCTCATGCATAGGAAGAATCAATATTGTGAAAATGGCCATACTACCCAAGGTAATTTATAGATTCAATGACATCCCCATCAAGCTACCAATGACTTTCTTTACAGAATTGGAAAAAAACTACTTTAAAGTTCATATGGAACCGAAAAAGAGCCCACATTGCCAAGACAATCCTAAGCAAATAGAACAAAGCTGGAGGCATTATGCTACCTGACTTCAAACTATACTACAAGGCTACAGTAACCAAAACAGCATGTTACTGGTACCAAAACAGTGATATATACCAAGGGAACAGAACAGAGGCCTCAGAAAAAAATCACACATCTACAACCATCTGATCTTTGACAAACCTGACAAAAACAAGAAATGGGGAAAGGATTCCCTATTTAATAAATGGAGCTGGGAAAACTGGCTAGCCTTATGTAGAAAGCTGAAACTGGATCCCTTTCTTACATCTTATACAATTCAAGATCCCTTCCTTCCACCTTCCTTATACAATTTAAAATCCCTTCCTTCCACCTTATACAATTCAAGATGTATTAAAGACTTAAATGTTATACCTAAAACCATAAAAACCCTAGAAGAAAACCTAGGCTATACCATTCAGGACACTGGCACGGGCAAGGACTTCATGACTAAAACACCAAAAGCAATGGCAACAAAAGCCAAAATAGACAAATGGGATCTAATTAAACTAAAGAGCTTCGGCTCAGCAAAAGAAACTACCATCAGAGTGAGCAGGCAACCTACAGAATGGGAGAAAATTTTTGCAATCTACGCATCTGACAAAGGGCTAATATCCAGAATCTACAAAGAACTTAAACAAACTTACAAGAAAAAATCAAACAACCCCATCAAAAAGTGGGCAAACGATATGAACAGACACTTCTCAAAAGAAGGCATTTATACAGCCAACAGACTCATGAAAAAAATGCTCATAATCACTAGTCATCAGAGAAATGCAAATTAAAACCACAATGAGATACAATCTCACACCAGTTAGAATGGCGATCATCAAAAAGTCAGGAATCAACAGGTGCTGGAGAGGATGTGGAGAAATAGGAATGCTTTTACACTGTTGGTGGGACTGTAAACTAGTTCAACCATTGTGGAAGACAGTGTGGTGATTCCTCAAAGATCTAGAACTAGAAATACCATTTGACCCAGCAATCCCATTACTGGGTATATACCCAAAGGATTATAAACCATGCTACTATAAAGACCCATGCACACGTATGTTTATTGTGGCATTATTCACAATAGCAAAGACTTGGAACCAACCCAAATGTCCATCAGTGATAGAGTGGATTAAGAAAATGTGGCACATATACACCATGGAATACTATGCAGCCATAAAAAAGGATGAGTTCATGTCCTTTATAGGGACATGGATGAAGCTGGAAACCATCATTCTGAGCAAACTATCACAAAGACAGAAAACAAAATACCCCATGTTCTCACTCATAGGTGGGAATTGAACAATGAGAACACTTGTACCCAGGGTGGGGAACATCACACACTGGGGCCTGTCGTGAGGTGGGGGCATGGGGGAGGGATAGCACTAGGAGAAATACCTAATGTAAGTGACAAGTTAATGGGTGCAGCAAACCAACATGGCACATGTAAACGTATGTAACAAACCTGCATGTTGTGCACATGTACCCTGGAACTTAAAGTATAATAAAAAAATCCTGAGTTAATTATTCATCCTCTCAAAAACATCCCTAAGTTTTTGGGATTTTAGTATTTAACTATGCTTTAAAATATTACTGCACTTTTCAAGTTCTCTTTTAGAAAAAAAAAAAAAAAACTCGGCTTATAATAGAATTGATAAACTGGTCAGAGATATACAACTTTCCAGAGAGCAAGTTCTGTGATTCCTTGATCTTTACTATTTGTGATCATTAACTTTTGCAATAGTACAGGTGCCCTTGGGTCATGCTCAGAATGTCCTTTGGAAAGGTTCGCGGCTAGTTTATACATGAATTGCTTAACTTTACCACCCTGGTTCTCTACAGGCTCTAATGAGCTTTGCTCACCTGCACCAACGCACTCTGCCTAGAGCACATTGCCCTCGCACTGCCTTATTTTACTCTATAGCATGCCAGTTTCTAAAAATCCTCAACCAAAATAATTAGTATTGTTAATTAAACATTGCTATTAGTTATTCAGTATTATTTCAGCATACTTTTATCACACATCTACCAGGTAACAGGCAGTGTTCTGTCTTTTTACATTGATTATCTCATTCAATAATCAAAACAAACAAAAAGATCACTATTTTTTTTTTTTTTTACTATTAGCCTTGTTTTATAGAAGACAAAAGTCAAGATCCTAGAAGTGAGAAACACTCAAGATTACAGTGTTGTTAAGAGTTGGTAAAGTGAGGATTTGAATGAAACAGTATGATTCAGGATTGTGTTGGTAAACTAGCTGTCAGTTTGGATCATGGAGAAGGAGGCACTGATTTATAAAGTTTGATGATTTTTGTGGTACAAATGTTACCACTCTTTCTAATTTCAAGCTTCCAAGATGATATGCCTAAACAGGAGCTAGCAAGGTATATGTGAAATGGCTCTTGAGAGCCACTAAGGGCATTAAATGACTTTTATAAAGCATTATTTTTATCTCCTAAACAAACTTGGAATATCCCCCCATGAGGTTTTGCTTCTTTCATTTCCTCTATTAAATATTATCATTCTAAAATCTACCTGATAAAATTCTACGTACTCTTCAAGGTCCCACTCATCAATCACCATTTCTATAAAGTACTGCAAGAGCCATATTTTTTTTTTCTGGAACAAAAACATAAATCTCTATGCTATTCATTTGTTAAAATACATTTGTGTCATCAGTTAACACTTCTTTTAAAGTAAGTACTGTCTCCATAAGGGCAGGTATTTGATCTTTTAATCAACATGTTACCCTGGATAGTGCCTCACAGAGAGAACATAGTTGTTCATGGAATTTCTGAAAAAAGCGCGTAAAGAAATAAATATATTAGTAACCGTGCATAAATAAATAAATGAATAAATTAGTTAATGAATGGCTGACAAAATGACAAAAACTATTAAGGTTCTGGATAATAGTCATCTGGGATTTTCTTGTCAATCTTATCATATTGTCTCCAACACCATAGGATGAGGGGTTGAAGTGAATTGAATAGTGTTTTATTGATACAATCTGGTTGCCTTTGTGTGAGCGTGTTACTATACGTACATAAACACACACACGTATATACATACATATATATGTATAATATATATGAAATATTGAAGCTCTTCAGTATTAAATTCTAGATAATATCAGAAAAACATGAAAATGTATCAGGTCAAGAGAGTAGTGAGATCTGAAGCAGGCTTGTTTTTCATGTATTGTATCTGGATATTATAAACATGATGACTAGATTTCTGGCTTGAATTGCAGTAGAGATATTGGCCTCAGTTCTGTTTGCCCCTCTCTGAGGATATTTTACTTATCTTTGACTCTAAAGCTGGCATGAAGCAAATAGAGTGGGGGAGGGAGAGAGATAGAAATATTTAACTAGAAAGTTCAAAAATCATTTTATAACATTTAGCTCATTCAAAAAGAAATGCATAACTACTTTCTGTGAATGCTGAAAGTTTGATTCAGATTATATTGAACTACATGGTCAGCAAAGTGAAACACGTGGCACAATTTGAAATCCTGAGTAAATAATCATAACTTAATTGTTGCAATGAAGAGAAAAATCTGTATGGAGATTTTGAGTTTTGATATAATCTGATTGTTGCCATTAAATAATAAAGCCTTAACAATAAATAAAATATTTTATAAAGTTACAATTTAATACTCATTTACTGGAAATACTTCTTTCTATTTAAGAACCATTTTATATTTATACTTAAATATTTACTTTTCTAATATAATGCCTCCTTTAATGTTTCAAATAATTAGGAAGCATTAATTTTCTTTTGATACTTTAGTGAACTAAAAAGGTATATATTTCAGGAGTTCCTTCACCTATCAAGCATTTTTGAGAGAACAGTAAACTTCATTCTGTGATATCTAAGTTAATATAGAGTGAGTACACTGAAGCATTCAAATATAGACTCATCCTTTTTTCAATGGTAAGTCAGGTCTTTTAGGTGAAATTCTATTTTTAATCATGTGAGAACATAATTAATTTTCTTGACTATCCTCTAAGAAGATGAATAGACTCTGTCATAAATATAGAGTTTTTTCAAATTAAAACTATTTTATTCATGTATATATATAGAGAGAGATAATATAGACTCTTTCAATGTCATCTGTGAATGCATTAATCAAGTTCTTTATGTGCTACAGAGCATTGCAAGGTAATAAGTCTATTGCACCTTTCATCAAGGCAAAGATTTGCTTATGCACATTTGAATGAAAAGCTTGCTTACTTTTCAGGTTGCTTCTGTTTGAAAAATGGCTTACTAGAGTAAATTTTATACTATTTAGCTTCAAAAATGAAAGCTTTCTATGCAGATTATGACAAATTAGTAAATAAAATTTGTTGCAATGGCTCCCTATTCCAATGCACATAATATTTTCACAGACTGTAAACATATGTCAATATAATGATATACTGTTTATTTCAGTAAAATGTTATGAAGTTAAACAAAATAATTTAGGAATGAAAAATAACCTGGCATTTGGGCCACCACATATAGTTTTTGTCCTAGTGGTGGCTGTTGGTAATCAATTACAATACCCCTTAGATTTAAAGCATGTGTGCCTCTTATTTTTCATTCATGCTGTAATCAAGACAGCCATTACCGTTTGATTGAAACTGGCCAGTGAGAGGAAACCTACTTGTCATCACGGAGTGTTCTGCAGGAGAACATATCAAAAAAAAATCAGTTTTAAAGTGTGTTGCAGATAAATGTTATTAGTAATATAAGGTAGTACAAATATAAAAATGAATCAATTCAATAATTTGTACCAGATTCAATATTACTCCTATAATATTGCCAGTTCTATTAAAATATACCCTCTTCAATTAGATTGATAAAGTATCATGACAGCTGATATGCAAAATTGTACATAGAATTTGTCTGCATGTGAACATAATCTGAAATATGTACCAGGGCTCAGAAACACCGCACTGAAGAAAAGACTTGAGAAGAGGTTCTCCTTCAAAGATGGGAAACATCCACCCAAATATGCATTGGTTTGACATTAAGGTAAGATGAATGATTTAGGCTTTATAGAGCACTGTTATATGTTAGACAGTGTGCTACGTGATGTGTGATGTCACACAGAACTATTTTATTTAGTCCTGAGAAAATCTGGGGATACAGCAATAGGTATCCTCATTTCATGAGTGTGTATTAAAAAGGATGAACTGATTTATCAAAAATTATAAAGATATAGGGTTAAAAATTAGGTACTTTGATTCTCAGTCATATGTATAACTCCAAACAAGCACAAACCATGGTGTCCCTGCTTTAAACTAAAGTGCTCATATTAACGATTAAGTGAAATAGAACCTCTGTGAGAAATTATGCATCACATTTTATTGATATGGTACTATTTCTTGAGTCATGGTTTCGATTACTGTAGCTTTGTGGTAAGATGTTTGCTTTTTTGTTTTGTTTTGTTTTGTTTTGTACCCTGTGATGGCAGATGCAGTAAGTTTTGAAATTGGGAAATGTAAGTACTTTGACTTTTTTTTTTCAAGATTAATTTGGTTATTTGGAGCACCTTTAAATTTCATATAAATTTTTAGATCATCTTGCCCATTTTGGTAAAAATAATGAAAAATACAACCTACATCCTCAAGTAGTTTCCAGTGTCCATTCCCTTCTATGTGTCCATATGTACTCAATAATTATCTCTCACTTATAATGAGAACATGTGATATTTTGTTTTCTGTTCCTGTGTTAGTTTGTTTAGGATAATGTCCTTCAGCTCTATTTATGTTCTTGCAAATGACTTGATCTCATTCTTTTTTTTTTTTTATGGCTGGATCGTATTCCATGGAGTCTATGTACCACATCTTTCTTATTCAATCCAGCATTGATGGGCACATAGGTTTATTCCATGTCTTTGTTATTGTGAGCAGTGCTGCTATGAACATACATGTGCAAGTGTTTTGATAGTAGAAGAATCTATGTTCCTTTGGGTGTATATCCAATAATGGGATCGCTGGGTCAAATGGTAATTCTGTTAAGTTCTTTGAGAAGTCACCAAACTGCTTTCCACAATGGCCGATCTAATTTACATTACCACTGGCAGTGTAAAAGTGTTCTCTTTTCTCCACCACCTTGGCAGCATCATTTATTTTCTGGCTTTTTGATAATAGTCATTGTGATTGATGTGAGATTGTATCTCATTGTGGTTTTAATCTGCATTTCTCAAATGGTGTTGAGCATGTTTTCATGGGCTTGTTGGCCACGCGTATGTCTTCTTTTGTGCAGTATTTGTTAATGCCCTTTGTATACTTTTTAATGGGATTGTTTTCTTTTTGCTTGTTAATTTGTTTAAATTTCTTATTGATGCTTGATATTAGACCTTCATCTGAAGCATAGGTTGCAAATATTTTCTTTCATTTTGGAGGTTGTCTGTCTACTCTGTTGACAGTTTCTTTCACTGTGCAGAAGATCTTTAGTTTACATCTCATTTGTCAAGTTTTGGTTTTGTTGCAATTGCTTTTGGTATCTTCATCATGAAATTTTTGCCAGGTCATATGTCCAGAATGGTATTTTCCAGGTTATCCTCCAGGGTTTTTATAGTTTAAGGTTTTACATTTAAGTCTTTAATCCATCTTAAGTTGGCTTTTGCATATGGTAAAATGAAGAGATCTAGTTTTAATCTTCCACATATGGCTAGCCAGTTATTCCAGGCACCATTTATTGAATACAGTCCTTTCCCCATTGCTTGTTTTTATCAATCTTGTTGAAGATCAGAGGGTTGTGGGTGTGTGGCATTACTTCTGGGCTCTCTATTCTGCTCTATTTTTCTGATTCTGTTTTTGTAATAGTACCATGCTGTTTTAGTTACTATAGCTTTGTATATGACAAAGTCGGGTAATGTGATGCCTCCAGCTTTGTTCTTTTTTGCTTAGGATTGTCTGGCTATCCAGGCTCTTTTGTGGTTCCATATGAATTTTAAAATAGTTTTTTTTCCAATTCTGTGAAGAACGTTATTGGTAATTTGATAAGAATACTACTGAATCTGTAAATTGATTTGGGTAGTATGGTCACTTTAACAATATCGATTCTTCCTATCCATGAGCATGGAATGTTTTTCCATTTGTTTGTGTCATCTCTGTTTTCTCTGAATGGTGTGCTGTAATGCTCATCATAGAGGTCTTTCACCTCCTTGGTTAGCTGTTTTCCTAGGTATTTTATCCATTTATGTGGCTATTATGAATGGGATTGCATTCTTGATTTGGCTTTTGACTTAGATACTTTTGGTGTATAGAAATGCTAATAATTTTTGTACATTGATTTTGTGACCTGAAACTTTGCTGACATTGTCAGATCAAGGGGCTTTGGGGCAGAGAGTATGGGTTTTGTTTTGTTTTGTTTTTTTTGGTATAGAATGATATCATCTGCAAATAGGAATAGTTATACTTTCTCTGTTTCTATTTGCATGTCTTTTATTTCTTTCTCTTACCTAATACCTCTGGCTAAGTCGTCCAGTAATATGTTTAATAGGAGGGGTGAGAGAGGACATTCTTATGGTGTTCCAGGTTTCAAAAGGAATGCTTCTAGCTTTTGTCCATTCAGTATAATGTTAGCTGTGAGTTTCTCATTGATGGCTCTTATCATTTTGTAGTAAGTTCCTTCAATATCTACCAAATGTATAAATAAGAACTGGTACCACCCCTACTGAATCTATTCTAGGAACTTGAGCAGGAGAGACTCCTTTCTAACTCATTCTATGAGGCTAGCAACATCCTGATACCAAAACCTGGCAGAGATACAACAAAAAAAGAAAACTTCAGGCCGATATCCTTGATGAACATTGATGCAAAAATCCTCAAAAAAAACATATTTGCAAACCAAATCCAGCAGCACATCAAAAAGCTAATCCACCATAACCAAGTTTCAAGGTGTCATCCCAGGGATGCAAGGTTGGTTCAATGTAACGCAAATCAATAAATGTATACGTACCACATCTTTGTTATTCAATCACATAAACAGAACTAAATTTTTTCAAGATGTAAAATTTGGTTATTTATTTATTTTAATTTTTAATCTAAACATTTACAGCTAAAAATTTTTCACTGAAAGTTGTCTTTGCTTCATTCTACAAGTTTTGGTAGGTTTTGTTTTCACATTTATTTTCTAATTTACTTTCTGATCTCTGTTTTGGATGATTGGTTGCTTAATAGTGTGCTGTTTATCCTCCACATATTTTTTGAATTTCCCAGTTTCTTTCTGTTATTGATTTATAGCTTCATTCACTTGTAGTAAGAAAAGATACTTTGTATGATTTTTGATCTTTATATTATTGGGTTTATTGTGTAGGCTAACATATGTTCTACTTTATAGAATACTTACTGAGCCCTTGATAATAATGTATCCCTGATGTTGCTAAGTGGAATATTTTATGTGTCTCTTAAGTCTAGTTGGTCTATAATGTCTAAACCCTGTATTTCCATTTAGATCTTCTGTCTAAATGTTGCATCTATTATTGAAAGTGCCATATTGAAGTCTCCATCTGTTATTGCACTACTGTCCAATTTTCCCTTCAACTCTGTTCATGTTTGATTTAAATATTTTGAGACTCCATTGTTGGTGCATGTATGTTTATACTTAGATCCTTATGAAATTAACTTTTCTCAATATATAATAGACTTACTTGTCTTTTGTAGACTTTTTTGATTAAAAATCTAACTTGTTTGATATTTATGTAGCCACCCTAGCTCTCTTTTAGTTACCAATTACAAGGAATACATTTTTAAGTCTTTCATTTTCATTCTATGCTTTTAGATTTTAAATGACTCCCTTATAGACAGCATGTAGTTGGACAGCATGTAATTGGACAATGTATTTGTTCATTTTATATATTCTTCCAATATTTAACTGTGGATTGGTGAGTTTAATCCACTACCTTTAAAATAACTATTTTTAAGGAGGGGCTTACTTTTGCCATTCGCTATTTGTTTTTATAAGACTTATGCCTTTTTGTTTCTCATTTTTTCTATCACTGGTTTCTTTTGTGTTTAGTTGATTTTTTGTGGTGAACCATTTGAATTTCCTTCTCATTTCCTTTTGTGTCTTTTTTATAGGTATTATCTTTGTGATTACCATGGAGATTGCATTTAACATCTTCAATTTATAACAATATAGTTCAAATAGGTGTTACCTTTACTTCAATGGCATACAAAAACTCTGGTCCTATACAGCTCCACCTTCCACCTATCTGTTCTGTGACATGGCACTACCTAAAGGCATAATGCAAGATGTTTCTCTGTGCTTTTTCTAACTGGAAACTCAGTTGAGAAAAACAGAGGACATTGCTGAAAAACGTGGCAAGCCAAACTAAGTACCCTCAAGCACTTGGGGCAAAATATTATATCAAAACACACAGTACGTTAACTAAAAACAGAAGCAAAAGCTGAGGTAAGATATGCTTTTTAAACATTTTCTCCATTTAAAACAATATATCTCTTCCTTTATGGATTTATACCTTGTCTTCGGTACACATCCAAGCTTCTCAAAGTACGTTTTATATTATCAGATCCATTTATTCACTTCATACTCATTCATCATAACACTACACTTCAAAAGAGAAATCACCAGTGACTTAAATGTTGATAATACAATAAACAATTTTATCTTTCTCTCTTTTTTCCTTCCTTCTTTCTTCTTTCTTTTTTCTTTCTTTTTTTAAAATTTATTTTATTTTATTTTATTTTTTTAATTACTCTCAGTGACTTATGTAATTGCACTTTTACTTTTTTTGGTTATTTTTCTCTGTAAGCTCCTTTTTTTTTCCATTTTACTGACTTCCTTTAGTCACTTCAACCATGGAATGTGGAATTTCCTCAATGTTATGATGCCTACACTTTTCTGACTTCGTTGCTGATATTATTCATATTCATGATGTTTATCACGGCAGCTGCCTGTGGAGCCACCAGGAACAAACGGGAGCCCCACCCCTTCCAAGATGAGGTGAGAGCTTTCAGGTGCCACTGAAGCCACCCAAAACATGGCTGTGGACCTGGACTTCTCACTCGATCGAGCAGGGAGGAGCTCTGCCCTCCTTGGTGGGGCTGCAGCTGCCCAAGTTGTGGCTTCAGATCTGAACCTCCCTGTGTTCTTGGGGTACTGGGAGCAGGCAGGAGTCTTGCTCTCCTGGGTGCAGCTGCAGCCACCCAAACTCGGGCATCCCTGCACTCTTAGGGTTATCGGAAGCCCCCGCTACCCTCACAGGATCAGAATTGTCTGCTCCTGCTGCCTGGCTTCTCCCTACTGTGGGCATCCACACCGATCTTGAAGCAAAGTTGGGGCTGAGCCCTGCTGCCATGAAAAGCAGCAGGAGGCAGATAGATTCCTGGGCAGAAGTGGATGGGTCCCCGGTGAAGCCCCACCTTCATGCCAGGTAGGGCCTGAAGGCTGGGGCAAGGCTGCAGGACCTGTACACCAGAGTGGGAACTTGTGGTCCCTTATCCAGGTCCACCCATGGACCAATTGGCATGCACTTCCTCCCCTCTGTGGCCCATAAAATCCTCAGGTTCAACCAGAGCTGAACAGGTGACAGGACAACCAGCTGCAGAGAGGAGGTATTCACTCTAGGGGCTCCTCTCTACTGAGAGTTTCAGAGGCCTGCAGAGACATCGAGACTACTAGCTGCAGAGGTGAGCAACCCACTCTAGGGCCTCCTGTCTGCTGAAAGCTGGGAAGATGATAGGACAACCTGCCTATAGAGAGGAGTGTCTGACCTGAGGGTCTCTTCTCTGCTAGGAGCTGAACACTCATGGGGTCACCCTGGCTGCAGAAAGGAGCTACCCCCTGAGGGCCTGTAAGCTGTTCTATTGCTCAATAAAGGCCTCTTCATCTTGCTCACCCTCCACTCAACTGAGTACCTCATTCTTCCTGGTCACAGGTCAAGAACTCAGGACCTGCCATACGGCAGAGCTAAAAGAGCTATAACACAACACAAACAGTACTGAAACATTCTCCTTGCCCCCCACATTGCTGGGGAAGAGAAGGAAAGAAGACCTGTGGCCCCTCAAGAGCCCAGAACTGGGAGATCCCCAAACCAGTGCTGTGACTCTGCTTTGGGTTCCTCTGGTGCCTGGCATCCCCAAGCATCCATACACCACTGCATTTCTTGGTGCCAGCTGGGAAAGCTGCTTGCAGAGAACCTGGTCCAGCTGCAGCCTTGTAGAGAGCTGGTACCCATTCCAGCACTTAGAGCTGCCTGCCCCCTGCAGCAGCCGGCATGCCTGACTGTACAGTGGCCAGACCCCACGCTCCTCACACACCCCTCATTGCTCCACACCTGGCCCACACTAGTTAGGAGTGCAATCCAGGCCAGTAGCGTGAGTCGAGTGCAGGCTGCCAGGCCGAGTGAGCGGAATGAGCCCAGTGGCTCGAGCAAAGGTCAGGCAAAGGCGCCACTGACCACAGAGGTTTCTGGCCAGAAAACTGACACTCAAAAATCTCATAACAATGTGAGTTGGATTAATAAACTCACATTTTAATTGGCTGTCTCAGGCCTCTCCTCTAAGTTTATATCCAATTGTCTACTCAGTATATCAAATGGGATACCTCATATATTCCTAAAACTTACCATGTATCAGATTTAACACGTAATTCTGTCCACCAAATATATTCCTTACTTAGGATTTTGTTGCTCAGTAAATTTTAAAACCAACCCTATTTTTTTTTATATTTGTGTCTTCTTCCTCAGCTCCCTCCACATCTAAACTTATCACCAATTCTAGTCAACTCTCGCTTTTAAATATCTGTCAAGTGTGTCAAATTCTCTTCTACAACCTTCTCTACAACTTTTTGGACAACATCTTAATCAAGGCTGCTGCTGTCTCTTATATGAACTAGAGCCAGAGACCAATATTTGGTTTTCTCCAGAGCATGTTAATAATTCTAGAATTTGTTTTTTTGTTTGTTTGTTTCATTGAGGCCATATTTTCAAAACACAAATCTGTTTATATTGCCTATTTAACATTATGCAGTAACTTTTCTTCGTTCATAGGATAGAAAGCAAATTATTAATTTCTTATGTGTTATGCTCTTAGATATAACGTTTCAGCCCCTTCTTCTGGACACTTTCTACACTATATTTCTCTATGATATTTGTAACTCAGGCATTCAGGTCAACTTTCAGTTATTCAAAGGCATTTGCTTTATAGCAGCAGATGCTATTTTGTCTGTCTACTATTTTCACTCACACTCCCTTTGTATGGAGAAAAATTATTTATTTTCCACAACACATCTTAAAGTTTCTAGCTCAAGGGAATTAATCTGTGACCCATTCCTCCACAAGTTTAGGTCAGGTCACTTTATTATGGTTTCTCACATAACAAAATTCTTATGTTAAATGACTCCATTTTAAAATAATCATCCATCTTTGTCATAATTTGTTTAATATCTATATATAAGACATAGTAAACATTCATCAACATTTGATGAATGTCTTAATAAAGTAATGTGTACTAATTCTAAACCAAAGAAGAAATTAGTCAATAATGAGAGCAAAGTATATTTTGCTGTTTTATTACTTATTTCCAACTTAAAATTTTTTGATTTTCTCATGATTCACAACACCTTTTTCTAAACTTATATTGAGAAAATAATGACAATGACTGTTAAGAAATCTTTCATATAGGCAATTACTCTTATGCAGTATATTGACAAGTGCTTAGTATACATAAACTTCTGTTTGACATAATTTCTTCCTTTTTAATTTATATTATTCTTGAAATTGAAGGAATAAGACACAAATGTGAAAGAATTTGCAACACAACATGATAACCAGTGAGCAATGCAGCTCTATTAAACAAAAACACATCTATTTTCTATTATATGCTAACTATAATAGACCATGACATATATCATCCTGGAAAACCTCACACTTTATAATAGTTTATTATTAAGCACTACAAAAAGGCTTTGGGTTTATTATGGAAAAGCATAGCACAATATTTTGTACACTGTAATATGAGGATATAGAAAGTGCTATGAAACAGAGAGGGGTTGAGAGATTAAATTCAGTCATGTGTCACTTAATGACAGGTTTATTTAGGCAACTTGGTTGTTGTGCAAACATCATAACGTATACTTACGCAAACCTAGATGCTAAAACAAACTACACACCTATGCTAGATGGTATAACCCATTGCTCCTAGGTTACAAACTTATACAGAATGTTACCATACTGATTGGTGTAGGCAACCGTAACACAATGGTAAATATTTGTGTATCTAAACATGTCTAAATATAGAAAAAGTATAGTAAAATACAGTATTATAATCTCATAGGATCCCCAATGTATATGAGGTATATCATTGACCAAAATATTGTTATGTGGTGTGTGATTATATGATGAATTAAATCATGGGAAAGAGTGATGCGAGTATTTTCCAAGAAACATAAATAGGATCTGGATCTGAAATGGTAGATAGAATTTGGATAGATGAGGAAGAAAATATTTCAACAAAAGAAATAACATCTCTAAAAGATTTCTAACATTAAGCAGTAATCAGGGAAAGGAGGACAATCTGTCAATTGCAAATGAATTGTGTAAATAATATAACAGAAAATTATATAAGAAATTTAACTTGTGGCCACTTTAATACTAGATTAAAAAATATTAAAATACTTCTGTGCCAGAGGACTAACATAGGAGATAGATGGCCTAAAGATTAACAATTGTGAAATGCTACTGTCTCTGTTAGACTGAAGAGACTATAGAAAGGAGTGATATTACTAGAACTTATAGCCAGATAGGGAGGAGGCTATCTGATGTTAACTGGAGTCATAGTGTATAAGTACAGCCGATTTTAGAGATAACACTGTGTAAAAATACTACCTTCACATCTGACAAGAGGAGCAGTTAGGTGCTTTTCAGAAAGATTTCTACAGAGTCATTTAGAAATGCAGCTTATATTCAGAATGATGTAAAGGAACAAATTGTAAATATATAAATTAATTATTGTATTATGAAAATAATACTCAAAAATAATGCAATGTGGAGAAATACTCAAATTTACTGTTGAGCAAATACATTGGTGAGATTGGTCATCTTTAAACTTAATCTCCCATCTAGCTTTTAGGCCTCAAAAATTCAGCAAAAACAATAATTAATTACAAATTTAAGTTTAACATTGCTTGCAGTAGAGTCATGAAGGTAACAATAAATCAGCATGGAAAATAAATCCCCATGTCTTGTCTTTCAGTCACAGAGACTCTAACTTTCCTAAGACTTTGTACATTTGTATATTTGATAATATTTTTAAGTTTTCTTTTACTTTTGTTTGTGGTTTCCAGAATTACAAAAAAAAGTTAAATTCTAATGAAAACACGGTACCATTTTTTTCATGATGAAACTTATGTTTCACTTAATTTGTACTGTGGCTTTTTGAAATCATTAATTTAGACAACTGTATCTTCATTTGTCATAAATTTGTTTGGTATTTTGAGTATTGTCTTAAGAGGAATAAAAGTTTTTTTCGAAGTGCAGCCCATTTTATCTTGTGGAGCAGATAATGCCATGTTAGCTTGGTTTTATTTAGGACTACTGGCAAGGACAGTGAAATTATTTCAGATTTAGGTGGATGAAAGGCACTACATTTTCCTTTAAAAAGGAGAGAATGCATAGTACTTTATTTTTCCCAGTCTTTTTAGATCTTTAAGAGAGGAATTTCCCATTTCAGAGTTCAAAGAGCTTAAAAGGGTTCCTTACTTTAGATAATTACTTTTTCAAATAAATTTTGCCCACTAATTTCCCTTGGGACTGAACTTGTTCACCTATCATTCAATGTATACCTGGAGAGTGACTTCGTTGTGTGTCTTCTGACATTCACTTCAGTTGTTAATCTGATGGGAAATGAAGATAATCTTTTCTCTGTGTTACTAACTTACTCAAATTTCTCCTACTAGACATTTTACTTTTTAATACAATGAAAAAAATTCAATATTCACTTGTCTCATATATTACTAGATTAACCTTTGCTGAGTAGTGAAGTTTCTTATCAATTCTTTTACAGTGTCCTTTGTTTTTTCTCACAAGCCTAAACATTTTATTTTCTTCAAACTTTCCCACTCTTTTCTTCTTGGCAGTTTTTTTCTAGAATATCTCAGAGAGTTAGGTTGCTTTTCTGTGTATAGGCAAAGAATATTACTCATCTGTGTGGTCAAAAACAACCTAGAAATAATAGTAGTCTCTGTACTAACAAATAAATAACAGTGCTTGCACAAGAAATGTTATTATTTTATTTTCCCTGCTTTTTATATGTTTAACCCTGAGAAGAAATGCTACTTCTAGGTTTGGAAATGATGTGTATACTCAACAATTCTGTTTTCTTTCCTTGTCACATTAAGCTGATGAAGGTATGAGATAATTTATTGAAGTTCCTTCAGGAGCATACTATAATAAAAACACCACACAATGGTAAACAGTATCAAAGATTTGATTCACTATGTTAAACAGTAGTCATTGCAAACTGCATGTATCACATTTTTTGTTTTGTTTTGTTTTGTTTTATTATAGAGTTACGTAAATTCAGATCATTTCAAAAATGGAATTCCTTTCTTGGATTTTTTTTAATTCTAGAAAAATGAGTTTTGCTCCCTTGAATAACATAAAATAAAAATACTGGTATCCTGAAGAAATTTAAGCATAGCATTTATTTTCAAATGATATTCAATTTTAGTAGCCAACTGATAGAATACTCCATTTGCTATAGCAATTTTTAAAAAGTAATTTACTTTATCAGCAAAATTGTGTTTTCAAACAATCTTACTTAGAAGTTTAACATTGAAAATGAGCATTTTCTGGTTGAAAGATGAGTGTGGGTTCAAAGTTTCATCAGTTTTGAGCTTCTCAGGTGGCTAAAGTCTCCTGCAGCACATAGTGTTCCGTGGAACAAATATGTATGATTCAGAAGTGCCCATTACAAAGTTGTTGTGGTTTGCAGCAAAATAAAAGTTCCTAAAGGACAAATGGTGTAAACATAGTCTGCAAGTTAGCATTCTCCTGTGACACAACTTGGACTATAAACATATAGGCAGAAAAGTTTCAATGAAACAGCATTTCTTTTTGTAAATATACTTTTATCATGCCTAGTTCATATAGCTAGAACTAGGGTTTAAGTTATATACAAAATTATTCAAACTGGTAAAGGTTTGCGAAGCGATGCCTGAGACTTTACAGGAACACACACCATACCATTCTCTTTCTCTCCCTCTCTCTCTCTTTTGTTGGACTTCTCATTAAGCCTGTCAATAAAAAATGCATGCAGATGTTACTAAAATTACAAAGTACATACCTTTGTGTTCCATATTCTATGACTGTTAAATCTCTTTAAAATTAAAACTGAAAATCCTGACAATTTTAATCAAAATCAAAAGGAAGTTATTTACTTCCAAGATACACTGGAGGTACAGGCATTGGAAAATGCTCCCATTGCAATGGGACAAATTGGCCAAAACAGAGGGGCTACAGGCTCCATGAAAGTCCAAAATCCAATGGGGGCAGTCATTAAACCTTAGGGCTCCTAAATAGTCTCCTTTGACTCCATGTCTTACATCCAGATTATTTTGATGCAAGAGGTGGGCTCCCTTGATCTTAGGCAGCTCTGCTCCTTTGGCTTTGGAGGGTACACCCTCCTACCCTGGCTGCTTTCATGGCTGGTGTTGAGTGTCTGGAACTTTTCCAGGTGCATGACACAAGCTGTCAATGGATCTACCATTCTGGGATCTGGAGGATGGTGGCCCTCTGCTCAAAGCTCCAGTAGGCTATGCCCCAGTGAAAACCCTGTGTGGGTGCTCCAACACCACAATTCCCTCCTGCACTGCCCTAGCAGAAGTTCTCCATGAGGGCTTCCCTGCTGCAGCAGACTTCTGCCTGAACATCCAGGTGTTTCCATACATCCTATGAAATCTAGGCAGAGGTTCCCAAACCTCAATTCTTGACGTCTGTGCACCCACAGATTCAACACCACATGTAAGTTGCAAAGGCTGGAGGCTTGCAACCTCGGAAGCAATGGCCTGAGCTGTATGTTGGCCCCTTTTAGCTATGGCTTTGATGCAGGGTACCAAATCCCAAAGCTTCACAGAACAGCAGTGAGGCCCTGGAACTAGCCCACAAAGCCATATTTTCTGTCTAGACCTCAGGGTGTGTGATGGGAGGGGCTGCCATGAAGGTCTCTGACATGCCCTGGATACATTTTCCCCATTGTCCTGGGATTAATATTTGGTCTCTCATTATTTATGCAAATTTCTGTAGCTGGCTTGAATTTCTTCCCAGAAAATGGGTTTTTCTTTTCTATTGCATCATCAGACTGCAAATTTTTCAAACCTTTATACTCTGCTTTCCTTTTAAACATAAGTCCCAATTTCAGATCACCTCTCTCACACCCAAAGTTCCACAGTTGTCTAGGGTAGCAGCAAAATGCCACCAGTATCTTTGCTAAAGCATAGCAACAGTCAGCTTTGCTCCACTTCCCCAGAAGTTCCTCATCTCCATGTGAGACCAACTCAGCCTGGACTCCATTGTCCATATCTCTATAAGCATGTTAGTAAACCATTCAACAAGTCTCTTGGTAGTTCCAAACTGTTCCAGCCTCTGCCTGTTACCCAGTTCCAAAGTCACGTTCACATTTTTGGGTGTCTTCGTAGAACTGCCCCACTCTCTGTCACACCAATTTACTGTATTAGTCTGTTCTTACACTGCTCTAAAGAATTGCCTGATACTGGGTAATTTATAAATGAAGAAGACTTAATTGACTTACAGTTTTACATGGCTGGGGAGGCTTCAGGAAACTTCCAGTCATGGCAGAAGGTGATGGCAAAGCAAGGACCTTCTTCACACTGCAGCAGGAGAGAGAGAGTGTGTGAAGTGCAAGGCAAAGAAATGCCAGATGCTTATAAAACCATGAGATCTCATGTCATGAGAACTCACTCACTATCACGAGACGAGCACAGAAGAAGCCTTCTTCATGATCCAATCACCTACCTCCCTTGAAAGGTAGGGATTACAACTCGAGATGATATTTGGGTGGGGACACAGAGCGAAACCATATCAAACCTTAAATGCACATTACTAAGTGAAAGAATCCAATCTGAAAAGGCTGCATACTGTATAATTCTAACTATAAGACATTTTCAAAAAGATGAAACTATGGAGACAATAAAGATGTCAGTGGTTGCCAGGGGTTTGGGAGAGGGAGGGATGAATAAATGAAGCACAGAAAATTTTTGTGACAGTGAAACTATTTTGTATGATACTACAGTGGCAGATACATGTCATTATACATTTGTTAAAGCACATAGAATGTACAACACGAAGAGTGAAATTTGATGTAAACTATTGACTTTGGTGTATAATGATGTGCCAATGTGGGTTCATCGATTGTAACAAATACACTACTGCAGTGCAGGATGTTGATTGTGGGGAAGGTTGTGGAGGTGTGGGAATAGTGGATATGTGGGAACTCTACTTTCCACTCAGTTTTGCTGTGAATCCAAAACTGCTTTATAAAGTTTATTAGTTAAAAAAGATACATTCCATGCCAGGATACAGCACCGGATTTTTAACAATGGTATTTTTGTTTTCTTAAAATGGTTCCATATTGAAGACAGCCTTCAGCTTTAGTTTAAACATGTTGAAATATAGCCAACAATTGCAATTATTATCCAACTTTCTACTACCTTAGATTACACAAAACATACCCATTAATAAATGGTAACTAAACAATATTCGTTCTACTGGTTTGAGTCTACTGTGAGTCAATACAATAGACTCAAACCAGCTGGTGTTTCTACTTGTCTTATTACATTTTATCTCAGATTTTATTTCCAAATTCTACAGTTATTTTCATAGCAAATAGCATTGGTAACTAGATGTATTGTCTTTCTCCAGGTCAGAGGAAAACTTTGTTTCCTGGGTAGTATCATAAAGATAAGGAGTCCTCTAAAAAAACTTTAAGTAGGTGCATTAGTCTTCTCTCTCATTGCTATAAGGACATACTAGAGACTGGATAATTTATAAAGGAAAGAGGTTTAATTGACTCACAGTTCCACAAGGCTGGAGAGGCCTCAGGAAACTTACAATCATGATGGAAGGAGAAGCAAACATGTCCTTCTTCACATGGCAGCAGGAAGGAGAAGAATGAGTGCCCAGCAAAAGGGGAAGCACCTTATAAAACTATCAGATCTCATGAGAACTTACTCACTATCATGAGAATAGCATGGAGGAAACTGCCCCAATGATTCAATTACCTCCCACCAGATCCCTTCCATGACACATCGGAATTATGGGAACCACAATTCAAGTTGAGATTTGGGTGAGAACACAGCCAAATCATATCAATAGGATTGCTGGAAACACCCTTATACAATTGAATATTCTCTGCGTTTAGAGTTCCTTAGCTGTGACATCATCTTCTGTGTACATGTTCCTGATATAAGCTCATTCTGCATTCTTCATGGCATTTAGGAAAAATGGGGAACTAATGCAAACATGAAGTTTGTGTGTCCTGCTATTGTATGTGTACTAATCTGTCGAATTCCATTTGAGATTGTTGTTATCTTACCTAGAGGATAAAAAGGAGCATGTAGGAGCTGATATAGCAATTTCTTTTTTTTTTTTTTTTTTTTTTTTTTTTGAGACGGAGTCTCGCTCTGTCGCCCAGGCTGGAGTGCAGTGGCGCGATCTCGGCTCACTGCAAGCTCCGCCTCCCAGGTTCACGCCATTCTCCTGCCTCAGCCTCCCGAGTAGCTGGGACTACAGGCGCCCGCTACCACGCCTGGCTAATTTTTTGTATTTTTAGTAGAGACGGGGTTTCACTGTGTTAGCCAGGATGGTCTCGATCTCCTGACCTCGTGATCCGCCCGCCTCGGCCTCCCAAAGTGCTGGGATTACAGGCGTGAGCCACCGCGCCCGGCCTGATATAGCAATTTCTTGCGATTAAGGGCTGCTTGGTTGCTTGACAATCATAACTTTGAATATCTCTCTTATTCTCATTCCCCAACACAAAGAAACTCACACACACACGCACACACAAACACATCATTGTAAAACTGCATGTTTTCCTATAAAATGCTAGCATTCTTTAAAAACTAAACTGATATCTTAAGTTTGTACAACATTATTATATAACAACACCATTGTACTCTTCTATACAAGAACTCCTTTCATACATTTAATGGTCTTTATAACGTAGATAGAGATGGAAATTAGTACACTTATTCTGAGGTTGAGAGCACTGAAAACAAAACTTTTAAAATCAATGTATTCAGATTATCTTATTTATCAAATCATTGAGTTATATGTTTAAAGTGTTGACACAAAGGTGAGTATTGCATACTTCTAGCTCTGAACTGGCTTACAATATATAGCCAATGATTAAACATTTAAAAAGTAAATAAAGTAGGGAAATCAGTTAAGTCTCCTGTATATTGTATGTGATCAATAACTGCTAGTGCTGCTGCTGCTGACTTAAAAGATAATGATGATTACAATTTCTGGGTTAGAATATAGAGGAGCAAAGGTATGTGTTATGATGGCATAATAACTAGAGTCTAGTGGAAACAAGATAAATTACCTTATTTAAAATAAATAGCTCTTACTTGAATGTCAATGCTTAATAAAGTCACAATGTTGATGTATAGTTTTAAAACATATTAAACATTAGGTAAAATATTTTGTTGTCTACTATCATTGTCTTCATTTTCATGGTTTAGATAATTTGCTTAAATTTTTCTTTTATTATTTTTAAATAAAAGATAATTTCTCTTAATACTTAACCTTTTAACCTGTTTCTTAGTAAGTAATCATACATCATAAATGTTTTCATAATCCTAGAAATATTCCAAGGTTTAGTTTGGCTGTATTGTTTATGTTAGTCATGCTATGATCTATATGTTATCTTTTACTTCATTTTTCTACATTGGTACCTTAATGATGACAAAAAAAAATAATTCCTTTACTAGGTGATTTCATTGTGAAATGCAGAAGTATGGCATCGTTGATAAATCTTAAATACAGATGAAACTGACAAAAACTTAAAACATATCTACACTGACAAATGTTTAACTTTGAAGAGGGATGCGTGATCTATTTTTTTATATACTGAGTATTACAAAAGATGTTTCATGCGCAGAAACCTGATTTTAATTTTTAAATGGAGCCATATTGACATCAGTTGGCAGACATGTCAGGTATAATTCTTTGAAGTTGTGCCAAAAAATATGCATCTCAATCTATTTAATCTGTGACTGTTGAACAGCTTTTCAATATGCTTTTCACAGTGAATTGATAAGAGCTGTTTTTCATTAAATTATGTACTTGATAAATATTAAGGTTAATCAAATCAATGATATCAATTTCCACAATAGAAAATGTCGCTAAGAGGAAGAATCACAAACCTAACCACAAATAGAACACTGTGCACTTTTAATCTATTTGCATTGACATTGTATTTTAGGAATACATATTAATATATTGAAAACAATTAAAAATAATCAGGTCTGCCTCAAAATCTTTCAAGAAGAAATTTGAGCATATATATGTGATAATAGTAATTATTACTATATTTGATATTTATTAACTATTGATAATAGTCATATTATTTATATTGTTCTCCTCTCAAAGACACTGACTCCATAATAACTGTAGGATAAAATTCACAAACTGCTTATCTTGGCATATAAGGCCTTCGAGAGCTAAGTACTAATATATATAACCAATATCATTTTTGCCTAGTTGATAATAAGAGACCTATGCCCCACAGTGATTTGTTCCTGAACAAGCCAGTTGTTTTAATTCCTGTATTGCTTACAGTTTTTCCAAACCTCTACTCACTCTACACTGTTTATAATATTTTACATCTCTTTTTTAAACATAAATCCTATCCACCATTCATCTATTGTGGGGGGCTGTTCCACAGACCCCAGCTTGCACAATGGATGAATAATGTACCCAGACACCAATATTCAGTGAAAGAGCAGCTAGGGTCTGAACAGCTCACAGACACCAAGGAAGGTGCTGAAAAGAGTCAGCAACCACGGCCCCGACCAGCTGGCCCTGCAGGCATTTATTTAGCACAGTTTTAATGACAAAGGCTTTCCATCAACACACCTGTGGGTAGGTAATCTGGTCACCTCCACCCCAGGAGAGCCATCTTGCCCATTAATGATCAAAGGTTAGTTTTAGGACCACATGAGTAAACAAGCTCTTTAGATAAACTACTCTACATTCCTTTGTATCTGCACCCTAAGCCATTAAATGAATTTGGCTGCCTTTAGCCAAACACTTTATGCAAACCTCTAGGCCTTCCAAGAGGGTTTGTGTTTATTTCCTATGACTTCATATTACATTTTTTCCCACTAGCCTGAATGAACTTCCACTATCTATGTATTAGGATCATCTTTGAACTTAGCTGAAAAGAATTTGAACCATCTTGAGAACAATGAGGGGTGGATCCAAGTTCTTGATTCCAGGGCTTCAAAATCCTATTATTTTATTCACTTTACCTCTTAATCTTTTGTTGCCTTTGAAGAAGCAGGTTGCCACCTTGTATGCTGTCTTATAGAAAGGCCCATAAAATCCTAATATTTTATTCACTTTACCTCTTAATCTTTTGTTGCCTTCGAAGAAGCAGGTTGCCACCTTGTATGCTGTCTTATAGAAAGGGCCATAAAATCCTAATATTTTATTCACTTTACCTCTTAATCTTTTGTTGCCTTCGAAGAAGCAGGTTGCCACCTTGTATGCTGTCTTATAGAAAGGGCCATGTTGGTGCACACGTATGTTTATTGCGGCACTATTCACAGTAGCAAAGACTTTGAACCAACCCAAATGTCCAACAATGATAGAGTGGATTAAGAAAATGTGGCACATATACACCATGGAATACTATGCAGCCATAAAAAATGATGAGTTCATGTCCTTTGTAGGGACATGGATGAAGCTGGAAACCATCATTCTCAGCAAACTATCGCAAGGACAAAAAACCAAACACCGCATGTTCTCACTCATAGATGGGAATTGAACAATGAGAACACATGGACACAGGAAGGGGAACATCACACTCTGGGGACTGTTGTGGGGTGGGGGGAGTGGGGGATAGCATTAGGAGATATACCTAATGCTAAATGATGAGTTAATGGGTGCAGCCAACCAGCATGACACATGTATACATATGTAACTAACCTGCACATTGTGCACATGTACCCTAAAACTTAAAGTATAATAATAATAAAAAAATAAAAAATAAAAATAAATTTAAAAAAAGAAAGGGCCATGTTGGAAAAAAATATGGGCAGTTTCCAGTTCATAGATGACAAGGATGAAGGTCTTCAATCTGGACACCTGAAAGAACTGAATCCTGCTAACCACAACATGAACTTGGAAGAGATACTTCTCCAGTAGAGCTTCTGAGCAGTGCCTAGCCCTGGATAACATCTTGATCGTCATTCAGAAAACCCAAGTAAGCCATGCCTAGACTCCAGACTGACAGAATATGTAAGCTGATAAACTACAAAATATTTTTTTTTCAACTTTTATTTTAAATTCAGGGGTATGTGTGCAGATTACATATGTAAATGTGTGCTATGGTGGTTTGCTGCACAAATAATCCCATCACCAATCATTAAGCCTAGCATCCATTAGTTATATTTTTGTGATGCTCTCTTTCCCATCACCCTCCAAACAGGCCCCAGTGTGTGTTGTTCCCCTGCTGTGTCCATGTGTTCTCATCATTCAGTTCCCACTTGTAAGTAAGAACATGCAGTGTTGAGTTTCCTGTTCCTGCATTAGTTTGCTGAGGATAATGGCTTCCAGCTCCATCCATGTCTACAAAGGACATGCTCTCATTCCTTTTTATGGCTGCATAGTATTGTTTAGATGTACCACATTTGCTTTGTCCAGTCTATCATTGATTGGCATTTAGGTTGATTCCATGTCCTTACTATTGTGAAGAGCGCTTCGATGAACATATGCTTGCGTGTATCTTTATAACAGAATAATTAATATTCCTTTAGGCATATATCCAGTAACGGGATTCCTGGGTCACATGGTATTTCTGCTTCTAGATGTTTGAGGAATTGCCACACAGTCTTCCACAATAGTTGAACTAAATTACACTCCCACCAACAGTGTAAAGGCATTTCTTTTTCTCTACAACCTTGCCAGCACCTGTTGTTTCTTGCCTTTTCAATAATTGCCATTCTGATTGGTGTGAGATGGTATCTCAATGTGATTTTGATTTGTGTTTCTCTAATGATTAGTGATGTTGAGCTTTGTTTAATATGTTTTTTGGCCTCATCTATATCTTCTTTTGTGAAGAGCCTGTTCATATCCTTTGCCCACTTTTTATTGTTTTTTTTTCTTGTAAATTTGTTTGTTTCTTGTAGACTCTGTATATTAGAACTTTGTCAGATGGATAGATCTCAAAAATTGTCTCCCATTGTGTAGGTTGTCTGTTCACTCTGATGATAGCTTCTTTTGATGTGCAGAATCTCTTTATAAACTGCAAAATAGTTAAAGGCCCTAAATTTTTAATAATATTACTACACAACAATTGATAACTAATAAAAAATATGTAGCAATTTTGATAGGTGCTGTTTATGTCTACCCCAATTATTTCAAAAGTGAAAGAGTAAGCAAAAGACAGTTTGGGGACTCACTGGGCCCACTGTGAGATGGACTTAAGCTAAAAGTCCATAGCGGCTTTTCTTTTTTTTAACTGATGGCTTTTTTTTTTTTTTTTTTTTGGAAATTGACTCAGTTTCCTGACCTCCATAAGCACCTACACTGAATGTTGGACCATAGTGATGTGGGTTTCCAAGAGTTCATGTAATTTGGGAGCCAGAGTCCAGGAATGTCCAAAATTTGATACACATTTGCCCTGGTAAATATCCAAAGGTGTCCAAGTAAAGCTGTGAGAAAGATTAAAAGTACAATTCTTGGCAGTATATCAGGGTCTTTCTTCAAGGGATCTAAGCTTGTACTTTATTAAACAGGTTCTGGGTATGTAAGCTCATTCAAGTGTAGGGATTGGTTGAGGGACTGTGACTCATTATTTTGGGAATTCAACTCAATCTCTGCTCACTGGACCTGGAACTTTTCTGCTCATACAGATCAAGTAAAAATGTATTAGTCTGTTCATTTATTTTATATCTAGAGAAACCAGGATCAACTAGCCAAAGCCACTGGTCTCCATGAGCCAGACAACTCTGATTACTATGTAAGTTCCTCTGTTTATTATGTAATCATGCCTACCTTTCCCTGACATTGGCAATTAATTTCCTTCACTGAGCCACTGCAGCTTCAAGTCTCATCATTCCCTTTATATTTACATATATAAATTGGCACAATTTGTATTTTGTAGTGGTGGAAATGCCCCTTGTAATTTCTGACCTACAGTGAATACATACAGTGAATACATAGAGTCCCTCAAGACTGCTGAGACTTCCATCTTAAATATAGTTTTGACAAATGTGGTGAAAGACCTGCCCTCCAACCCTGCTAGGTGGATGAGCAAATCTTTTACAATAAATTATCTGTAATATTCCAAGCTCCCTAAACCTTTGGATATCATGCTCTATGCTCTACCAAATCTGTGTATGTAATCTATTTCTTTGTAATAATATTACCACAATTTTAGCAGATTAAAACAGCACCTATTTATTATCTCATTGTTTCTATTTGGCAGGAGTCTGCATATAGTTTAGCTTCATCCTCTGCAAGGCTGTAATCAAGGTATTGGATGGGATTTTGACCTCAACTGCAGCTCCACCAGAGAAAGGTCCACTTTCTTGCTCTTGGAGTTCTTTATACAGATAGTGAACATCATGCTAACTCACCTCATTCTCATTCATTCTTTGGCTTGACAATTTGGGGCTCTTTCCCCTTATAATTGGAATTTCTCCCTTGGCATTCAGACTTGACCCTGTTGTTTAGACCAGTTTATTCCCATGTTCTTCATAGTCATTTTTTTTCCAGCAAGCCTCTCTTAAATACAATCCTTAGCTTCAGAAGTTTTGATATTGTATGGAGGATCATTGTAAGAGTGAGTGTGAAATTATATAAACACAAATCAAACTAGTAAAATCAAAATTGAGAACAATTTGCTAATGAAACTGGAAATATTGGAAACAAACTGGTCTTACAAGGGAAGAATTTGGAGACTTGTAAATAACGTTAGAATTCTGTGTGTGTGTGTGTGTGTGTGTGTGTTTACATGTTGCTGATTTTTCAAGTTCATTGGAAAGAAAGAGTGTCTTTGTCCATGACACTTTTGTCTTAATTTCAACATTAAGAAGTGGCCAAGACTAATACTTTATAATAATATAATTTTGGTCATTTTTTCAACTCTATCACATCATTATTGGATTTAGGGAATGATTTTGAAGAGTAAATGTTCATTGTGTGCTTTGTGTGTATACAAAATGTTTTATATTTTATTTTGTTTTATTTTACTCTATTTTAGAAGAAATAACACTGTTTCCATAATTGTTTCAGGTCACAAGCCCAGAAGTCAAATCATTTGGAGAATACACTGAGCATCTTTTATTTTTCCTTTTTTTTTGTTTTTTTGTTTTGTTTTGTTTTTTTGGTTTAACTAGGCCATTCCAACTTTCTCATTTAGACTGGGTATACCCATCATTAGATGGGTATGCATGTTCTGGGTGTTTCATAATTGTCATTTCCTCTAGTCTTGCATTATCTGGTTCTCAATTCTGATATTTTGCTGCAATAAATCCACTAGGATAGTCAGAGAAATTTCGAGCCACCCAAAGAATCCATGGAGTTCTTAAGCAATGCACACGATTATTCTTATGATACGGTCATTTCACCTGTCCTCAGCATGCCATACCTATACATATCATCCTATTCTGCTTTCAGCTAATAGGTGGGTCTTAGGAATGGGAGGAATGGGCAGGGTAATTCATGCTGCCATACTCGGGATGTTGTTTCTCCACATTTGCACAGTCGTTACTCAGATTTTATTCATTGACTGCTAACCTCACTATGCCTTTCACTTCTCTGTAGCAATTTTCTTTGAAGATATTGCTTCTTTGTTCTGTCAGTCTCTTTGTCTCTCTCACCTTCTCTCATTTTAGACCTCATTACAAGAGGCATAATATATGTTTTTCATACAATATTTTGTTATCGATATTTCACCTGAGATGGCTTCAGTGTGATTCTTTAAACTAACTACCTCACCTCCACCAGGATTTTATTTTGAAGAGTGAGGAGAAAGAAGAATAATAAAGGACAGAACTTTTTCAATCACTTACTAAGTTCTAAGCAGTGTAATACGTATTTGAAATATACGAAGTAAGAGTCCTATTAGTTCAAATACAACAAGTTTTTGTTAAATTGTGCCAATTTGTATTTGTTGAATAGCAGAGATTCCATCCTTCCTTTAGTGGACTGTTTCTTGCTTCTCTAGGGAAAAGGAAGGCAGGGCAATCAACCCTGTGGTTACTGGGACTAGAGTCTGCCATTCTGCATGAATGTCAAAGCTTCTCATAACCTGGGACGGATGGGTGTGCTACTCTACAAAGAAGAGCTGATGCTTTCCCTACTCATTTTGGATCTAGCCCAAAAATGTTACAATGAAGGAGAATATGATTCCCAAGCACATGCAGGCTTTTTCAACCCAAACTAATGCTGAAATATAATTGATATGTATACAGTTATTTTACTCACTATTCAAGTAGATATCACAGACACATACTCTTTGAATACTGGGAAACATGAAATCGAGATTATAATTTATTTGTTTCTTGTATACTGTGGGGTGGGATGGGGTGGGAGTGCCAAAGTAATTATTCAGATTTTGGCTTGATGGAGAGGGTATCCAATGTCAGCCTTCCTCTATCGTCCCTTATTTTCTTCAGTTCTTTTATTTGTCATTTTCAAAAAACCCTGTGTAAAATCCTATTACTTCTCGCTGCTAGGAAATACTACTTTTCCCACACTCACAGTTACCTTCCTTGGCTTGCAACCTCTTAAAAAATAGGATGTGTAGAGAACTTAATCATATTTTTTAACTCCATTTGGTAGCGAAGTGAGTCCTGAATTCATGACTGGAAGGAAGATAATTGTTTCATGCAAGTTGTTTATTCTCATTGTTTTCTATGCTATTCCACTGAATAAATATATCATGCTTCACTTATGAATTTCATTCTCAAAAGATATTTGATTTCTTTTTCTAGTTTGGGGTTATTATAAATATTGTCCTGTGAAAGTTTTTTTGTACATGTCTTTGAGTAAATATATTTGCACATTATTCTTGAGTGGGGCTGAAAACGGAGGTTTGTTTTTTTGTTTTTTTTTTTTGTTTTTTTTTTTGTTTTTGTTTTTGTTTTTTTTTTTTTTTTTTTGGAGTCTTGCTGTGTCGCCCAGGCTGGAGTGCAGTGGCACAATCTGGGCTCACTGCAACCTACGCCTCCTGGGTTCAAGCGATTCTTCAGAGTATCGGTACAGGTATGTGCCACCAGACCTGGCCAATTATTGGTATTTTTAGTAGAGACAGGGTTTCACTGTGTTAGCCAGGATGGTCTTGATTTCCTGACCTCATGATCCACTTGCTTCGGCCTCCCAACGTGCTGGGATTACAGGCCTGAGCCACTGTGCCTGGCCTTCAGGTTCTTCATGTATGTTCATTAGCACACATTGATAAAAGCATTATAAAATACTGCTTCCCCAGCTACAGACTATTAAAGTTCACATTGCTCTACATCCTTACCAATACTTGTTTTTATTGTGTGTTTTGTTTTCATTTTTGAAGACACTGAGTGAGATAGCTGTGCAGAATAATATTTTTATCATGCTCACTTTTTCCATTTAAATTTATTTTTAATTGACAAATTATTTATATTTATGGCATACAACATGATGTTTTGATATATGTATACGTTTTGAAGTGATTAAATCAAGCTTATTAACAAATCCATCACCTCACATACTTATTGTCTTTTTACTGAGAACATTTAAAATCTAGTCTTTCAGCTATTTGCAAGTATACTACACATTATTATTAACTATAGTAACCATGCTGTACAGCATATATCCAGAGGTTATTTATCCTGTCTAACTGAAACTTTATGCACTTTCACCAATTGCTCCCCTTTGCTCCCATCCCCTTCACCTAACCTTTGGTTATCACCATTTTACTCTCTGCTTCTATTAATTCGTTTTTTAATATATCCCACATACATGTGAGATCATGCAGTATTTGTTTTTCTTTGCCTGGCTTATTTCACTAAGCATAATGTCCAGGAGGTTCATCCTTGTTTTTGCCTTCTCATGACAACTTTCAATTTTGAGCATCTTTGTTTATTGGTCATTATATTTTCTCTTTCATAAAGTTCATGTTTACACCTTTTGTATATCTGTCCTTTGAGTTATATTTTGCTATCTTTTTAAAAAGTAGGAGGTCTTTTTCTTTGTCTTTCTCTCTTTTCTTATTTTTTTCCTTTCTTATTTATTTATTTATTTATTTGATAATGTCTTGCTCTGTCACTGAGGCTGGGGTCCAGTGCAACCTTGCCCTCCTGGGCTGAAACAATCCTCCTCCCTCAGCTTCTTGAGTAGCTGGAACTATAGGCTCACACCAGAATGCCCAGCAAATTTTTCATTTTTTTTGTAGAGACAGAGTCTTGCCATGTTTCCCAGGCTGGTCTTGAACTCACAGGCTCAAGTGATATTCCCATATGGATTTACAGGTGTAAGCCACTGTGCTGAGCATAGGTCTTTGTAGGTTCTGGTTAAGTAATGAGTCTGTGTTTTCTGTGTCCCACATAACTCGTATACTCTTCTATACTTTTATAAAATTTGCCTTCTATTATTCAGTCTAGCTAGGTTTTCTTTGCCAAATCTCTAATTGTGTCTTCTACCATTTTCCATCAACTGTTAAACTCCAATATTGAAATCCTATTAGTTATTGTAAATTTTACTTCTCTTCTTCTCATTTTTATAGAATCTAGATCACTGATAGAATTTTCCATTGTGCTATATATAGTTATAATCTTTTATGTATTTGAACATGTTAATAATAGATATTTTAAATTTCTTGTCTACTAATTAAATATCTGGATCAAAACTGAACATGTTTTCTTTGTGGTATTCTTTCTTGATTTTAAATCATACAGTCCTATTTTTGTCATGGCTGTACATTTTACCTGCATTAATTTTTAAATGAATACTAGATAATAAAAAATGCTGGCAGAAATGAAGGCACCACTGTATCTGCTAGCACTCTACTGCAGCTATTGCATCTCAGCCCCCACAGTGCAGTGGACTCCAAACCTACCAAAGCCAGAGAACATAGTTAGGGCTCAATACAAGTCCCCCAGATTTACAGCATGCAGTTCAGGAGTTGGGATCCAAGCGCTGGACACCTAAAATCTCCCAGAAACAAAGCCAGATGGCTGAATCCACCTTATACCACAACAAAACACTGAAGGCATCAAGTAGAATAAATGAAAATAAAAAACCACCCAGAGGTCAGCAACCTCAAAGACTGAAATTATCTAATTCGAAAAAGAAATAGAAATCAGAATAGTTATAGGAAAGAAGATCGTTGAGTTTCAGGAGTCTGTTGAAACCCAATGCAAGGTGGCTAAAAATGATAATAAAACAATGCAGGTATGACAGACAAAATAGCCAGTAGAGAAAAATAACATAACTGACCTAATAGAACTGAAAAACACACTACAAAAATTTTATAATGCAATCACAAGTATTAATAGCAGAGAGTACAAGCAGAGGAAACAATCTCAGAGGCAGAAAACTGGCTTTCTGAAATTTGACAAGAAGACAAGAATAGAGAAAAAAATTAAAAAGGAATGAGCAAAACCTCAGCGAAATATGGAATTATGTGAAGAGACTGAATATGTGGTTGATTAGTGTCCTGAAAGAGAGGGAGAGAATGGAACCAACTTGGAAAACATTGATGGATATCATCCATGAGAACTTCCCCAGCCTAGCTACAGAGATCAATATTCAAATTCAGAAAATGCAGAGAACACCAGTAAGATCTTCACCAGAAGATCATACCCAAGACAATTAGTCATCAGTTTATCCAAGGCTGAAATGAAAGAAAAAATGTTAAAGGCAGCTAGAGAGAAAGGCCAGGTCACCTACAAAGGGAAGCCCAGCAGACTGACAGTGGACCCCTCAGCTGAAAACCTACAAGCCAGAAGAGATTAGGGGTCAATATTCAACATTCTTAAAGAAAATAAATTCCAAACCAGAATTTCACATCTAGCCAAACTAAGCTTCATTTGTGAAAGAGAAATAAGGGCCTGGTTCAGTGGCTCATGCCTGTAATCCCAGCACTTTGGTAGGTCAAGGCAGGTGGATCACTTGAGGTCAGGAGTTTGAGGCCTGCCTGGCCAACATGGTGAAATCCCGCCTCTACTAAAAATACAAAAATGAGCTGAGCATGGTGGCAGGAGTCTGTTATCCCAGCTACTCAGGAGGCTGAGCAGGAGAATTGCTTGAACCCGGGAGATGGAGGTTGCACTGAGCTGAGATCATGCCACTGTACTCTAGCCTGGGTGACAGAGAGAGACTCTGTTAAAACAAACAAACAAACAAAAAACCAGAACAAAAGAAAAAAGAAAGAAAGAGAAATTAGAAATTTTTCAGAAAAGCAAATACTGAGGGGATTTGTTACCACCAGACCTGCCTTACAAGAGCTCCTGAGGGAAGCACTAAATATGGAAAGGAATGACTATTACCAGCCACTACAAAAACACATTACAGTACAAAAGCCTGTGACAGTATATAGCAACCACATAAACAAGTCTGCAAAATAAGCATCTAACATCATGATGACAAAATCAAATCCACACGTATTAATACTAACTTTAAATGTAAATGAGCTAAGTGCCCAAATTAAAAGGCCCAGAGTGGCAAGCTGGATAAAAAACTAAGGCTCATTGGTATGCTGTCTTCGAGAGAACTATCTCACATGCAATGATACACATAGGCTCAAAATAAAGGAATGCAGGAAAATCTACCAAACAAATGAAAGACAGTAAAAAGCAGGGGTTGCAATTCTGTTCCTGATAAGACAGATTTTAAGCCAACAAATATCAAAAAAGGCAAAGAAGGGCATTACATCATGGTAAAGTGTTAAATTCAAAAAGAAGATCTAACTATCCTAAATATATATGCACTCAACACAGGAGCACCCAGATTCATAAAGCAAGTTCTTAGAGTCCTTCAAAGAGACTTCATCTCCCACACTATAATAGTAGGAGGCTTTAACACACCACTGACTGTATTAGATAATTGAGAGAGCAATTTAAAAAAGATATTCAGGAACTGAACTCAGCTCTGAATCAAATGGACCAGATTGATATATACAGAACTCACAACCTCTAAAAAATAGAATATACATTCTTCTCATCGCCATGTGGTGCATACTCTAAAATTGTTTTAGAAGTAAAATACTCCTCAGCAAATGCAAAAGAACTGAAATTCTCACCAATAATCCCTAGGACCACAGCACAATCAAATTAGAAATCAAGAGTAAGAATTTCACCCAAAACCTTGGAATTACATGGAAATTGAATAACCTCCACCTGAATGACTTTTAGGTAAATAATGAAATTACTAATCAAGAAGAAAGGAGAGAATATCCAAATAAACGTGATCAAAAATGAAAAGGGAAATATTACCATTGACCCTACAGAAATACAAACAACCATCACAGAATATTATGAACACGTCTATGCACATAAAATAGAAAAATCTAGAAGAAATTGGTAAATTCCTGGACACATAGGCCCTCTGAAGACTGAACCAAGAAGAACTTGAATCCCCACATAGTCCAATAATGAGCTCTAATATTGAGGCAGTGATAAATAGCCTACTGTATTAGTCCATTTTCACACTACTATAAAGAACTTCCTGAGACTGGGTAATTTATAAAGAAAGAAGGTTTAAATGACTCACACTTCTGCATGGCTGGGGAGTCCTCAGGAAACTTACAGTCAAGGTGGAAATCATAATGAAAGCAAAATATGTCTTAAATGGTGGCAGAAGAAAGTGTGAGAGAGGAAGCCCCAAACACTTTTAAATCATCAGTTCTCATCAGAACTCCCTCAGGATCATGAGAACAGCATAGGGGAAACCACCTCCATGATCCTATCACCTCCCACTAGGTCCCTCCCTCAACACATGGGGATTACAATTTGAGATGAGATTTGGGTAGGGACACAGAACCAAACCATATCACCTACCAAACACAAAAAGCCCAGGATGGATTCACAGCTGAATTCTACCAGATGTATAAAACTGAGCTGGTACCATTTCTACTGAAACTATTCCAAAAAATTGAGGAGGAGGGACTTCTCCCTAAATCATTCTATGAGGCCAGGATCATCCTCATACAAAAACCTGGCAGAAATTCAAGAGGTTTATTGGAACTCTAATCAGAGTATTACACATGATATCAAATCAGTAATTGATATCACTCTCACTTCTCCACTTGCCATTTCAGACTTTTCTCACCCTTAGCCACATTTCAGCTGGTACAAAGTGCCTACCTCATGGAGTATCCAGAAATCTATAAGAGATTCTGAGTTTTCATCACCTCATTAAGAGATATCACACGAAGGGATGTGATCATATACTTAGGGCTGCTTGATGTTGACCATATATTCTACTTTATATATCAGAAAAGAAAACACTACTTCACCCACCAAGACACTTACTTCCAGAGTTTCACCTATAGCCCATGATTAACAATGATATCAAACAGAATAGGTTGCACTTGGTTAATGCAATCAATAGCAATATCAAACCATGACAAACTGGTATTTTATTTGCAACAAGTTTGAGACAGTTTTTCTTCCCAACACAATATCAGCTGTGGTAAGACACTGAAGAACACAAAGGATGCTTTGATCAGTTTAGAAATATAACACTTTTACATCAGGTGAGAGATAAGGAGAAATTTCAAGGCTAATATAAACAACAAGCATCTATCAGATAACAATTCTGAAGCTTAACCTGCTGATAATTTCAAAGTGATCAAACCTGTTTGCACTTTGTAACAGGACTTGAAAGCTGTTTCATAGATTTGAGCTCATGCTGAAACATTGTAAAATCTTACTAACATATATAGTAATCACTGTTTTTTTCTCTTTTATATTTGTTGCTATTTGTATTGTAAATAAAATGAGAAGTTATACTATGACTACTGTGTTATGAGTGTAACCTCACTTAACCCCTCTGGGTTTTGTTTGTATCGTATCATAAAGATGTGTTACCTGTTTGCTATTTAAATAAGCAGAGATAAAAATCCCTCTCTGATAATAAGACCTGGCATAACATAGAGAAAAACATTGAAGTGGAGTGTTTTCTAAAGCACAGCTAAGGTTAGTTTGGGTTTTAAAGGCATCCTATTGCTGCAGTCTCCTTGGAAAAGCCGCCCCATTGAAAAGCAACATATGGTCTTTCAATATGTCCAATACAAAGGATTTCCTTCCATCATTGAGACAGATTGTAACTTTGCTGAACACCAGAAAGGCAGTTAGCTGAAGTTTCAAACCCATGCCTTAAGAAAACCATATTTAAATATTTATTTAAATAATCACCCTCAGTGTTTTGCCAAGTCCCCACTTAGAAGAAGCTTGCAGAGACTAAAACCTGCTGAAGAAACAGTACACTCACTTCTTCCATCTCACGCTTACTCTGGGACATATGCTCATTTATTGGAATTATAAGAAGAATAGCATTTGGTATTTAAAAATGTTCTCTATCTCTTTCTTTTCCCTCTTGCATGTTATTAAAGTATACATATAATATTTTTCCAAAGTGATGTCAATATTCATCTTGGGCTTTGGGCAATTTTTATTTGGAAGATGGTTTTAATGCCTGGAAGTTACATATACACCAATAGTTCTCAACTCTGTGAATATATGAGAGTATACATGGGGAGCTAGAAGAAATTTCTGACGTTCATATTCTACCCCAGTTTTTCTACAGTGAGTATACCCCGTTTTCCTAGGGTGCCTCTCTGCTCTCAATCACTTTTTATTTTTTATATCTATATATTTTATTCTAAAGGGCAGGCAGGATTGAGAACCATTGTTGTATTTAAATCTGTACTAGGCAGTGTGAGAGAGGAACAGATTTTGGATTGACCCTACTTTACCTAAATATTTAAATCTAGACCTGTTGCTGGGCAGAGGGCTATCAAATTCTGTTATTTCAAGGATTATTTTTGGCCTTCAATTAAAAAGTATCTAGGTTTAATTTCCTCTCAAAATTAATGCTTTTCTGTCTTTGGGAAGTAATCTCACTTAATACTTATGCACTAGATTACCAGAAGAAATATTCATTCTTATTCTCACACTATGGGGAAATCTCAAAAGGGGCTTTCATTATTCCATACTTCTCCTTAAACTTCCTCCCAAAACACATCAGAATTCCTTTTGGTAGCCCCTATATCTTTATTAGCGTGTGATATTGACTTTCAAACACAAAATGATGACGTTCTGGATAATGGAGTAATAAGTGTGCCCTGCACCACATTATTTTCACTTCCAATATCCTTGTAATGTAAGCAGCATCTTGTCATGGGAAGAGGTTGCTAGTCATGATGAGAAAAGAGTGAGAGAGCTGCTGATTTTATTAATCATATATTTATATAATATATATTTGGATATATATTATAATTTAAATATATTATAAATATACATTATATATGTATGTATGTATGTAAGAAATTGATTCACTTGATTACAGAGGCTAAGTCTCAAGGCCTGCAGTTGGCAAGCTGTAGACCTAGAAGAGCCAACAGTGTAGTTTGAGTTTGAGTTCAAAGCCTGAGAACCAGAAGAGCTGATGGTATGGTTCCAGTCTGAAGGCTAGGAGGCTCAAGACACAGGATGAGCCAATAGTTTGGTTCAAGTCTGAAGGCAGGTAAAAAACAATGTCCTGCTCAAGGTTGTCACGCAGGAGGGGAGTTTCTTCCTATTTGAGGAAGGATCAGCCTTTTCTGTTTTATACAGGTCATCAACTGATTGAATGAGGCCCAAACACATTAAGGAGGGCAATCTGCTTTAGTCAGTCTACCAATGAAAGTGTTAATCTCATTCAGGCACACCCTCACAGATACACTCAGAATAATGTGTGTCCAAATGTCTGGGCATCTCATTGTTGGGTCAAGTTCACTCACAAAATTAACTACCACAGGGAGCATCAAGGATAAATAATCTATGGGAGAGCAGCTGCCAAATTGCAAATGTGTGGGAAATACTGTGTTCTAGAGGCACACATGAAGATTGGCACATGGGACATATTGACTCAGAATCTCTTCATCTTTTACAAGAAATGCCCATATATTCTCAAGATGCAGGATGCTTAGTATTTTCTTAGAAGAGGAGAACCATATTTCATGAAAACTTTTAAAAGGTAATAATATATGCCAGCATTTAAAAGTAACTGCAAATGAATATGTTCTTTGGACATCTCTATTTTCTATTGTCTTGCTATTCAATTAAGAAAAAAAATTCAGAACTGAGGTAGTGATAATTTATTTTGACTATTTTTGAGCCTCACATTATTTAAATCACTAATGTATTTAATTCTACTTCACTCTTATCTACATATCTACCTGAAGGAGCAGATAACCAAAAATAAGTTGTCCACACCAGGAAATTATTTCATTTAGTTATAAATATTAACGTGAAGGGATAGAGTGAAATATATGGGGAAGAACTAAAGACTATTGTGCTTGTGTACAACAACTTCAACATTACTAATCCAAACTTATTTCAATTACTCTAAAGTAATTTGCTAAAATGATTAATTATCAACACTATTTGATCCTGGTTTTAATCATCTGCATAAACTCAAATACAATTTCTAACCCCAATTTTCTTTTTCTACATTGATATTTTGTTTAATTAGAGCTCTCTGGAGCTCTGCCATAATCTATAAGAGATAAATTATGGAACACCTAAGACATAATAAGTTTTCAATATCCTTTAATAAGAACAAATATGTAAATGCTTAAAAATAGTCTAAGTGATTTAAAATGTGGAACTTAATTTGGCTTTATGTTAAAACTTTGAGATGAATTCTCAATTTACCTCAATTCATAGAGTCATTTTGTGTATAGATATTTTGGTCCTCAAAAATATGTCCCCCTTGTTCTTTGGCTGACAATTATTAATATCAAAGAGAGATGGCAGAGAGGACACATGGGCTGCGATGTCAGAATTAGTTCCTGCTTGCACCTTAAGTAGCAAGTGATTTTGTTGCTGGTCATCTAATTTCCAACTGATTCTATCATCTGGTTTTACTCCTGCCTGATGCTTAACTTAAATGTAATATTCAACCTTTATTCTCAGATAAAAAATTTATGATATTAGCTACATGATTTCAGTCAACTTAATTCCTCCTGGCATTGCATCTCTAAACACCTCAGACCCAAACTGACAAGTCTGTCATTGCCCACACCCCAAAGTTTATACAATTATTGTGTTGGCAGGCATTAACTTGGAAAGTTCTAGTTTGGAAAAGCTAACTAGGTAACATTCATAAAGAAAACAAATTTCCCCTCCCCTTCAGGTAAGCCCACATGATACTTTTCAGTATTTAAGACTGAAGGGGGATAGTGACTACTGACTTTGTGTCTGGCAGGAAGAAATCACCTAGCTATGGAAAACATATACCAGCACAAAAACTGTAATATTCACCTGAATTTAAAAAGCATGTAAGAAAGGTAGTGATGATTTCACTTTCACAAATTGTGAATAATCCCAAATTTTAAAGATGTTTGTATCTTAAATGTATGCTGAGGAGATTTTTTTGAGCAATATAAAGAACTTCTCATTTGGCACAGTGCCATGCAATAAATGTTTGCTATTATTTATTGTTCTTAGCAGGATTGCATGTACAATTAGAGTGAAAGAGATATGCCAATATATGTGATATATTTGTTGCTCACATGGCCAGAGTTGGACTTCATTGTCCTAGTAAAAGAACTTCCTCTATAACTAACTCATAAAAACTAACAAATGGAAAACGCTGAATAAAACCAAGCAATGACATTTCTGGTATGTCACTCCAAGTAGCTTAATTTTAATGGATAAAATGTGCTCATTCATATACCCATCCATTCATTCATGCCTTAATCCATTAATTCAATATTTTCTTTGAAAACTTACCTTAATTCTAGAAATATTGAACTGAAGAAAAAATATGATCTCTTATTTTCTTGATTTTTTTATATTTAAACAAGAAACACAATTATTTTCAGTTGAATACCAAAGCAGGAGATTATACCCTTAAACAGGAAAACAGTCACTAACTATTAAGTCTCAACTCTCAAATCTATCTGAAGAATAAGTAAGAATTGACTAGCAAGGTGGTAGAAGACATGATGTTACAGGTGGGTCTTTGTTCTTAGAGCTCCCAAGATGGGGGCGGGCTGTTCCCAAGATGGCGGCAGGCCTTTTTTCTCTGACATGGTGTTCTTGTCCTCACAAATTCCAAAGAATGGAACGTTGGGCCATGCAGTGAGTGTTATAGCTCTATGAGAAGCCGTGGGTCACAGAAGAGAACTATGGAACCCAGTGACTAGTGATCAGCTTGATTAGGAAGAACCCGGGCACTTAGCCATGCAGGAACAATGGCGAGCCTTTATCCCTATCTGGAGATGCAATGGGCCCCTTGCTGAGATCAGGAGCCCAGCGGACACCCTGCCGGATCCAGAGGGGTGGAAGTCAGCAGCGGGTCTGCGGCAGCGGCAAACAGCAGTGGTGGATGGTGAGTGAAAGCTCAGCTCCAGCTGTAACAAACAGGGACCAGAAGAGTGTGCAGTTGCAAGATTTAATAGAGTGAAAACAGAGCTCCCATACAATGGGAGGGGACCCAAAGGGGGTTGCTGCTCCCTGCTCGAATGCCTGAGTTTATATGCCAATCATTGTCCCTCCCTCTGTGCTCTCAGGTGATATATGATTTGACTATTTCTTTACCTCCTGCTTTAGCCTAATTTGTATTTTAGTGAGCTCTCTTTACTACCTGATTGGTTGGGTGTGAGCTAAGTTACAAGCCCTGTGTTTAAAGGTAGGTATGGTCACCTTTCCCAGCTAGGCTTAGGAATTCTTAGTCGGCCTAGGAAATCCAGCTCGTCCTGTCTCTCAATATGAAAAGCATTTCAGGAAGAAAAATGAATGCATTCAAATATTCTCATTTGAAAGAGAATGATATAGTTGAGAAATGAAAAAGTGGCAGGTAGACAGAGGACAAAGTGACCACATGAGATGAAACCAGTTACAAAGGCAGGTGTCAGATTCTTCATAGTTTGCTAGGCAAAATTGAAATTTGGCAGGTAAATAACTGATGGAAAAAATAAGGGATCAATCTATATTAAAGATTTCTTTAGCTGAAAGTGCACAAAAAATATTAGTGAATGGCTGAATCATTAAGGTAGCTTCATGACTTGACAAAAATCAGTCTGAACTTTTTAGTCAGATTTGCTAAATGCCACAATCTTTCTCTTTTCTCTTTTCTCTACTTAAAGGCTCAGCTCCCAAAAGGGGTCCAGCCCTAATGTCTGAGTCAAGTCATCCCTCCTTTTTGATGCTCTCTTAGGTTTTCTTAGGCACATCTGTTAATGCACTTACTTTACATTGCCTACTTTTATTTCCACACATCACTCTTGCCTCCAATTCGTAATTTCTTTGAGGGCAAGGATTAGGTCTAATTTATTTCAGCAAGCCTAGAGTTTTTAAATAATTGGCATGCAGTTTTTTGAGCTTAGTTTTTTTTTTTTTTTTTTGAGACTAAGCCTTGCTCTGTCACCCAGGCTGGAGTGTGCAGTGGTGTGATCTCGGCTCACTGCAACCTCAGCCTCTTGGTTCAAGTAATTCTCCTGCCTCAGTCTCCCAAGTAGCTAGGATTGCAGGCACCTGCCATCGTGCCAGGCTAATTTTTGTATTTTTAGTAGAGACTGAGTTTCAACATGGTGACCAGGCTGGTCACGAACTCCTGACCTCATGATCCACCTGCTTCAGCCTCCCAAAGTGTTGGGGATTACAAGCATGAGCCACTGAGCCCGAACTGAACTTAGTTCTTAGATTAAAGCATATGAAATTAAAAATATCCCCTATAATAAAAATAAGAATAAAATTACCAATGTTTAGGTGACTCAGGATCTCCTATGTAGCCCCGAGATTCTTGCTCTATGATATACACATTTTGTATTACTCTTGAGAATTGGTAATTTGTTAGAATAGCCATCCCATGTTTGGATTAGATTCGAATATATTAGATTAGATTGGTTTAGATTAGATGGTATTGTTGAAAGGAAAGAAAATTGTCCTGGGAGGATCTGACTTAGTCGTGTGAACCTTAAAAATAGTGCAGATGTTTCTAACAAAAGACATTCGAAGTAGAAGAATAATTTGGCATGATGGAGATTCTCCACTGCTGGCTTTAAAATGAAAAAGTCATATGGCGAGGAATGTGGGTAGCCTCTCAGAACTAAGGGCAACCCCTCATAATAGCCAATGTGGAAATGAGGGTCTTAGTTTAATTATGCTTAGTATTCCATTGTTGGAACGCCAAGCATGTGGGTGTTATTTCTATCCCACTACTCAAGGTCATTGCCTATGTCTGATGGCAAAAATTTAAAAAAATTGCAACCTCAGGCATAAATGGAGTAACAAACACAAGAAAATGAATTGGCCAAAATCAGTAAACTTGGAAGAACACTGTTAGTTTTAAATGAATATGTAGCTTAGATGACCGCTTGATTTTATTCTTATGAGACTGTGAGGAGAGAATCCGGGGACACTATGATCTAATACATGAGTGCCATTGAAGCAGCTAACTTTGTGGTAATTTGTTACACAGCAGCAAATACCAAATATCAATGTGGACTATTAGTGTCACCCACTAATGTATAATCATCTAAAGATATAATCATCTTTAGTATAAGTGAGCAATCAAAAATAAGAAAACCATGTAAGTATCAAGGTATGTCTATATACCTGGAGCTTGGGTTGTGCTAAGAACTTTATGTGATATAACAAATATACCAACCAAATAAATGATATGACTTTCACAAAATGTCTACCATATTGTAAAATCATGCCAAATTGAAGATTCAAGCTTAACAGCAAATACACACAAACACACACACATGTATATATGTAGATATATACATATACACACACATACACACACATTTATATACACACAACGGAAATATACACACACATACATATATGTAGGGAAAAGTTCTGTATATTTTATTCTCATATTTTTTTCATGTATGTCTGATATGTCTGGGAACCCTTGTCAGTTAATGTTTGGAGAAAAATAGCAAGTGATCCCTAAAGTGATGATTCATGGGTTAGAAACCAAACTTGATCCCTAAGGGAACAAAAGGAATTTTCATGTTTCAGAAATGGATCCTGAATTTATAGGATTTTTAACTGGTAAATGTTTCAGTTAATTAAGAGAAAAGTAGCTGACCAGTTCCTCATCACATATTTTCTCTATTGTTTTCTTTATCTCTGTGATTATTAGTCAAATATTCCTGTCAAATTTGAAAAAGAAAGTGATTCTATCTCAACTGGCCCAACTGGAAGAGTTTGAAAAAGTTTAGAATATAATCATAATCAAAAAGATCTATAAAAGGAGTTCTATTTTGTTTATTGATGTATTTATAAATTTTATAATAGAGTCTTGCATGTAAGGTGACTGAATATTTATTGAATGATTTAATGAATTAATGCAGAGAAAATGGAACTTTAAAGAGCAGTAAAAGTGCAGATATAGTCTTTTACTATATCGTTTTTTTCCCAGGATTGTAAAGTTTGTCTCATTTCATATATCATCCAAGACATCTTTATCCAGTTTCCCAGGGTGCTAACATAGCCATGGAACTATATTTTATGTGTATAGGCTTCCATTATCTTGGCTTTTCCCCAGATGTAAATTTCCAAACTAATACCTACCCTGCATTACATATTTTCTAGAAGCTTTGATACTTTTGGTCAGGAGTAAATATTAGGGATTTTCTGTGAGTATGGCTTCTAGGCTTTCTCTCCCAGATATAGTTTTTGTTTTCAAGAACATAATCTGTCCTCAGATTATTTGCAAATAAAATAATTTTTTTGCCTTACTTCTTGAAGGTCCAATAATAAAACTATACCTTAATGCAGTATAAAATTTATAGCATTCTTTTGGTATAATAACATACATATAGAAAAATTAAATCATTGCAGAAGTCAATGGAAGTCAGTGAAAGGTTTTCTGAAAAGAACAAATATATTTTTTTTCCCAGATAGAAACTCATCTTCTACAAGGAAGTATTAAGTCTCTCCCTGTTGTTCCTCAATTAAACAGAGACCTGAAAATTATTTTCTAATTGGAAAGGATATTAAAAAACATATATCAACAACTTCCTATTGCTTTACTAATAAGAATAGGGATAATTTCAGAACATACAAAGTATAAATCTCAAGATAAAACTAAATAATGACAAGATTCTTTTTAAATATTGAAAGCATTACAAAAACATAAGTGACTGATACTTAATATCTGCTGCATTACACTCTTGAACCCACAGGTTCTGTCAGTAACAGCAAACAAGCCAGACTGTGAATTCTTGCTGTGGTAATTTCAACACTAAGCAATCTTGCACATGACTCAAAAATCATTTCCAAAATCCACTACATGCAGACACACAGAAAACATGACAAGGAATTCTAAACTTAAACTAACCATGCTGTCAATATCTCTCCCACATGCTGCTCCTATACATATGGATGCAAGTACATGCCTCAGGAAGTACAACAAGAGCATGAAGTACTTTAATGAAAACAGCAAGATATCATTTCTACCCAATCTTAGCTGAGCTTAAGCTTTGGAAATAACTTCAGTAATTTTTTATGAGCTTGAACAATGAAACTTAATCCATTAGATGCATACAAATTACACATCTTTTTTTAACAAGAAAGAAAATTTTACTTTAAAACAATTAACATTGTATTTAAATTTTAAGAATTGAGAAGCATTGTTAACTAATATTTAAAATAAAACAGCTTTGTTTAGAATATAGAATTTATTCCTACAGAATAACATCAAATGACATTTCTCAAATTTTTTTTATTGTGTTTTAATCTCTCTTAATAATTATAACTTGGTATAATGGATCTTCAACTTGCAGCAGCACAGATTGAAATAGCCCTGTGCAGTTGAAACGTAAATAAAATGTGTGCCTTTTCTCCCCACATTTTTCTCCTATAACCACCTGACATTTTGTAAATAATAAAAATATGCTATCAAATAAAAAGCACACTTCTTAGCATGGAAGGTAAAGCAAAAGTGTAATGAGAAACTTCACTTGAGCAATCAATACAATGTTTAATTTTTGCTTACTCTGTTGGGATGCTTTAGTATATTTTCATGAGTCCAAATATCCAGGATTACAGCCTTATAGACAGGATTTTTGCCTTTTTATTTAATATTCATCTCATGTGAAATATGAAGAGCAATCTGAATAATCAGAGAATTTGCTTCTAAAAGGCAGAAAGGGCTTGAGGAATGAAAATGGTGTCTCAAATCCAGAACCATTTCCCTGCTATATGTAAGATATAGGTCTCTATTATATTTTATTAAGTGATGCATACATATTATCTAAGATACATTTCTGACATTTAGAGCTGTCTTTACAGTTTGATTTGTACTAGTGTTAATAGTATATGCATTCAATAAACATTATTTAGCATCAGTAAAAAAATAAGTAAGTTGATCAAAGTTACTATATGCTGTTCACATGCTTATGCTTTAATTCTAGCCAAAAAAATCAAAATATATCTGTCATACTTCTAGTATCAGTAAAATGAAGACTTTCTAAATTGTGTCTTTGGGCTGAAGACCAACTTGTCTGGTCACTTGAGACTTACCATTAGTGTCATGTCTAGTATATAGGTCTGTAAAACTGGACCATGAAAAGGTAGACTATTACAATGGTTACAGAACATGAAACCATTTACATTGTGATATTTTGCAAAAGTTAATTACAATGCCAAAGAAGAAACTTAAATAGAAAAGCTCTAAGTAATCAGAGGGAAAGAATAATTAATTTGTAGAGGGAAAAATGAAAAGGATATGAACATAGGAGAAAAAATTTAAAAAACAAGAGCTAGATTTTATACACACATAAATCCACAAATGTGTGGTAATTAATTTGGGAGGGGGAAATAAATGACCAGATAATATGTTATGATATAATGCTGGATATTGTGAAATCAACAGTTCCTTTGAATACAAGTAATCCTTTAAATTGAACGATCAGGTGCATTTTGATAGATCATTAATAGATTGATTTTAAAAATAACATCTTCCAGTGAATACATTGATTTTTGTTTTTCAATTCATTTTGTAAGTTGTGTCAGAATAAAGAAAGACTACTAAATGGGTAGCCTTTCTGAGAAACCTCATCCAGAAACCCTGTCTTGCCTTCAAGAGGAAACAACCTGTATATACTTACCTTTGTTGAAAAATAACATTTACATGAACAAATTTTGGGGAATATATAAATACAATAGAAAGTCAGATGCACAAAAACAGAACCAGAGTCAGTTCTAAATATATATATATGTATAGCTATATATACACATATATATGCACACATATATACATAAGTATATATAGAATTATATATACTTATATAGTATATGTTATTATATTTAATTTTATATAATATATACAGATATAATTATGTATAGCATATATAATTATATATTGTTATATATTTATAATGTATATATGATCACATATTTGCGTACATACAATTGTATATTGATATATTGACATATGATTGCATATACATAATTGTGTATAAGATATACAATTATAAATACATAATCATAAGATTGTATATGCATTATTGTATATGAGAATATACAATTATATATGCTATACATAATCATATCTGTATATATAATTATATACTATATAATCCATGGACTATATGGCCTTGAATTAACCAAAAACAAACACTAGTAAATAAACATAATTTTAGTTCAAATTGCATCATTTTCAGATCTTACTTCTTAGTAAATATGTCCACATGAATAACTGTCAAAATAACTCTACTTTTCTATGTGGGACTCTCCTCACCCACGTTTGTGTCTTTTGCTGTGGCTGCTGTGCTGTGAACATCTCAAAGGGCAAGCTCCTGGTAAATTTGTCATTGATTTGCAATACCTATCACAGTAATTGGCACAGGTAAATATATTCAGATTTATTTTTAAACTACTTTGAAATGGTTTCATGACATGTAAAAAGCTGTATATATTTAATGTATACAGGTTGATGAATTTGGGGATAAGTATACACTCGAAACTATTGCCACTATCGAGGCCATAAAGTTTAATTGAACTGAATTTCAAGAGATAACAGCTAGTTACAGTTACTGCAATGATAGAGAAGAATAATAAACAGAAAAATGCCTATGCCAAGATTTTTCACTCATTAATCTTCCAAACTTACTCATGTTTCCCTGTATATGAATTTAATTTATAATAAATAAAATTTTTCTCAATTTAAGGTGAAGATTTAAATAAAATGGTATATTTTAATATTTATATAGTTTTGAGATAAATTCATGTACATAAAATTCACCGTTTTATTTTAGAGTGTATAACTGAGGGTTTTGTAGTATTTTCAAAATGTTTTACAATCAATACTACTATATATTTCTAGAACATTTCCATTACTCCCAAAAGTAAGGTTGGATCTCCAGCTTCCCCTTCCCCATCCTTGAGCAACTACTCATTTACCATCTGTGTCTACAGATTTGCCTATCCTAGATATTACATATAATCATTCGGTCTGTGACTTCTGAGTCTGGATTCTTTCACTTAGCATGTTTTCCAAATTCATCCATGTTATAGCATATATCAGTACTCTATTCCATTTTATGTGGTTGAATGCTAGTCTGTTGCATCGATACGTAATATTTTATTTAGCTATTCATCAAATAATGAACTTTTGAGTTGTTTCCATTGTTTGGCTGTTATGAATTATGCTGCTATGAATATTTATGAGCAAGTTTTTGTATGAATATATGCTGTCAATTATCTTATATATAATTAGGTATAGAAATGTTGAGTCACAAGGTAACTCTAAGTTCAGTTCTTAGAGAAAAAAACTGTTTTACAAAGTGACGGTGCCCATTTATATTTCCACCCAGAATGTATGAACATGATTCCAACTGCTCTATATTCTTGCCAACATTGTTTTCCATTTTGTTTGTCATTACAACTGGTCAGGTGTATTTGAAGTGCTATTTCATTGTGGTTTTGATTTGAAGTCCTCTAATGACTAATGAGGTTGAGCATCTTCCCCTATCCTTATTGGCCATTAGTATAACTTTTTTTGGGAAATATCTATTCAAATATTTGTTCCTTTTTAAATTCAGTTGCTTATCTTTTTGTTCCTGAGTTAAATTTTAATTTTAATTATAAATTTGTGGTAAATCTCAATATCAATTGATAAAGTAAACATAATGGGATGAAAGATTATAAGAATAAGCTTAAGAGCAGGTATTCTTATATTCATTTTTGTAGTCTACCATTGATCATAAGACCTTGTATAAGAAAACAGCTTAGATGATCCATAATAAGTTGATAATGTGTACCTTATTAAAACTCTCCCTCGAGATGGGAGTGTTCTTTCTCTGATGGTAGTTTCCATGTACCTAGAACCATATTGCATTACTATGTTTACTTCTAGACCAAGAAATCATTACAGAGCACCTCAGACCAATGCAATATGCATATTAGGCTCTTTCTGGCCTTTATGTCTTTTTCATCAGTATTTCATCACTAATTCAATATAGTATACAGTGCTAATTCTTTGAAATAACATTTATGTGATTTTCTCTATTAAATATTCAAAGAGAACTTGGATCTTAGCCTCGATTCATGTCTCATACTTGCTTATACAACAATTTCACTCTTTTATTTAATCCCTCATTTTTTTTATCATATTTTTTTCCCTTTCCACTGAGCATTTAAAGAGCATAAATTCTTTCCACACTTAAAATGGTAGTCCCTTGATGCCATATTCTTCTCCAACACTGTTTCATTTCTCTGCTCCCCACCACAGGAAAATATCAGTGAACTATCAGCTAGCTATAAGTTTGACATCTATTTTATAGCTCCCTCTTTTTCTCTTATCATATTATCAGGTTTTTATTCCTATCATTCAAAACGCATTTTTTAAAGTCACTGACAACCTACTCCTTTTCAAATCCTGTAGCTAATTACTTGACATTGTATTGTGTGAAACATGACATATAGTTAGCAATTCTCTTATGTCAGAGACTTTCTGTTCCTTATGTTTCTGTGATAACTCATCCTCTTTTTTCCTAACCTTCCACAATGTTCAGTCGGTCAGTTCTTTCAAGTATTTTCTATATATTCTTCCTTAAACTAATGTTTTATTTCTTCATTATGCTTAATTTTATCTGAAAATTTTTTATATAAGAATTGATTATTGTGCTTCCAGGTCAACTTTCAGTAGTGATATAGGGAAATATATATAAATGTATGTATGTAAAGTATATACTTGGTTGGAAGCCTTGTGGAGCTTATCATTCAAGATTCTTTCCCATAATCATCCATGAGAGCATTATACTTAGATAAAATCTCAAAATAACACTCAATCTAAATTTCTAAGAGTCAGCTCAGTGAGTGTGAGAGGACTGAATCTACCTTACTTGAAAGCTCAAAAGTTAGCCTGCCAATGTTTTATATAACATATAATAAAAGAAGACTCCATAGCCCTGGGTCAGGATACAGGCTGTTTCTTACAGCAAAAACAGCAGTCAGAGTAGTATCTTAGTGCGGCTTCCCTACATCTCAATCCTCACAGGGCAGCTCAAATAAAGGTGGTATGTTGCCTAAGCATATGATTCTGAATTTTAGAAGACTGAGATTTTTATAGGTTGTTTATACATGTTCTCATCCTTTCTCCAAAAGAAAACATGACTTACTAAGCAAATTTCCTCTAAGCAATTGGTTTACTTTATGGCATGTAAGTGTAAGTCTCCAGGAAAGGGAAAGAGCGAGTTATTATATTTCCAAATCTTTTCAGAGATTTCTATATTTAGGAAGACACTATCTCCATCTTCTAAGATATATTTGGTATTCAAACATGCCCTCTGTTTAAAAGACCTCTACTATGCAGAAAACTGAAAATAGCCAAACTAATTTTTTTCCCAACCAATTAATTCCTGGTTTCCACAAGGTTCAAGTCCTTGGTGAAATTCCCCATGTTATCACTTCATCGGGCTCTCTGATTAATCTAACACCAATTAATGTAAAATCCATTTGGTTTCTGTTTGTAGCACCTTATTAAAGCTACTGTCAGTAAGACTTTGGGCATAGAAAGGGACCAACCCGCAGTATTGCACCTAAGTATGCTTCTCTGCACCCTGATCTAACTAGCCAAATAAGTCATATAACTATTAAAAAGTCCGCTGGCTTTATTTTTTAGTATGTTGACTATTCTACCTATTTTAAGCATTACTGAAGACACAGCAGCATACGTTAGCACTGATTCTGTCTTGGCTTGCAAGAAGGAATTCTAGGAGAATTCAATCATCTATAGGAACCCTGACTTGTAACTATTAAAAAGTCAGGTGGCTTTATTTTTTAGTATGTTGACTATTCTACCTATTTTAAGCGCTATTGAAGATACAGCAGCATATATTAGCACTGATTCTGTCTTGGCTTGCAAGAAGGAATTCTAGGAGAATTCAATCATCTGTAGGAACCCTGAGCAATGAGCTGAAGCTAACAGTAATGTCTCCCAGTGCTGAGATAATGTCATTGATCACTTCAGGTAAAGCTAGGGGCACATCCGTATCACCTTTTTAATTGAATCATTAACATGATAGGTAAAATTTCCCACATGATATGCCTAGATAATGAGTTGGTTTTCTCTCCAGGAAGCTCATCTGAGTAACTGAAGGAAAACTTATCTTAGAGAGAGCTCTGTAGTCATGGAAGCAATATATAAATTACCAGTGGTGTTCCCTTAAATATTCTCATAGCCAAACCTAAGGTGCAAGTCACCATGTTTTTGAGAAGGCAGGACAATACCTGGCCTCTAAATAAGAAGTATAATCCAAATGGCACAGATGTTGTCTATGAAACAATTATTGTTTATACTGTTGGAACCCGTCAGTGGGGCATATAGCAATAAGGGGCAAAAGTTGACAGTGCCTTCAATGTGCAATGTTATGGAGCCTGCTAGCTGGTTGGGGAGACTTAGGGTTCCCAGGTCAGTCTGAGTAACTGAGTCTAATTCTTGTTTTGGGAGGAAGTGCCTGAGGAAAATCAGTCCATTGGGTCCTGTTTGTTGACATCATCAGTAGGGTGATATTCCTTATTTGAATAGAATCAATACAAGGAAGCATCTAGAAATGTTATGCCTAAGACTTGAAAGAGCTGAGGACACCTACTGCGGTCTCATTATCAGAACTGACTAATGAGATAGAATACATAGCAGTAGATTAAACTCAGAAGCACCCATGAGACTTTGAGAAAGTTCCATGAAGGCATCTTCCTGTGAGATGAAGCCTTCAGGGACAGATTTAAAATACAGAAATTACTAATACTATCCATACCCCCACATACTCCCTCCAGGAATCTAATGCAGTCCCTCCCCAGACACCTTGGGGTTCTCTCTCCAACTGCCTGAAATCTGGATGCTCTATTCCAAGAAGTTCACCTTATATCAGTCATCCCCTAATATCAACAAACAGTTTTATCTGGGATAGTCAAGGGCAAGAGAGAAAAATCGTTTTTAAAAAACTTAATTAGAATTAAGTTGGAATCTCTAAAGACTCTTCTTTTCCAGGATGCCATCCAGAGAGTGTGCCCAGCAGAGCGTGTGGATGAAGTTAGAAGAAAGAATGGTGCTCAGGAAGGCCAAGAAAAATCTTCAAATTCTACTGCTGGTTCATGTAGCTCCTATAATTTCCCAACCTTTTGTATTTGCCATTATTCTTTAAGAAGCGTAAGTGAGACCATTTTTTTTTCTGAGAACACCTGCACTTAATAACCAAACTGCCTTATTAAGTGGGATGTGTAGCCTTGGAGAAGGTGAAAGCAAAAGAGTCAGATAATTGGTTCATTGTTGAGAAACTTTTCCATAAATGCAAATAGCCAGGAAACCTAAACACACAGTAATGATTTTTCTCAAAGTAAAAATGCAACAGTGTAAAGCACTAACTGTGGTATGACCAGAGTTAGCTTATCAGAAACCTGAAAAAGTCAAAATGCAACAGTGGTAAAGCAGCACCACAAATAACTTCAACATAGAAGTGAGTCTGATATAGTAGTTAACCCAGTTGGGTGAGCAGGGGACCACAATCTATATAATGTGGTCTCCCCTATCAAAGGATAAACAGGTCCCTCAATTTTCTTTTTTAGTTTGCTTTCTGTTGCTTATAACAGAATGCCTGAAACTAGGTAATTTCTTAAGAAAAGAAGCTTATTTCTTACAGTTATAGAGGCTGAGAAGTTTGAGGTCAAGAGGCCAAATCTGGTAAGGGCCTTTTTGCTGATGGGTACTCTGCTGAGTCCCTGCAGTACAGGTATTCACATGATGAGAGGCTTGGACATTCTGGTTCAGATCTTTTCTTCCCGTTCTTATACAGCCATCAGTCCTACTCCCATGATAACCTATTAATCCATTAACTCATTATTTCATTATTCTATGAATGGATTAACCCAGTCATGAGGGCTGAGCCCTCATCAATCACCTCTTAATGGCCCCGCCACCTTGATTACTAAATTTCTACATGAGTATTGGAGGTAACAAATATTCAAATTACATCATCCTACCCTGGGCCACCTAAAACTCATATCCTTCTCTCATACAAATGCATTTATTCCAAACCCATAGCCCTAAAGTCTCAACTTGTTTCATCACCAACTCAAAAGCCCACAGTCCAGAGTCTCATCTGTGAGCCTGTGAAATCAAAACATCTTATTTACCTCCAAGGTACAATGGTTGTACAGGCATAAGGTAGACATCCCTATTCCAAAAGAAAGAAAAGGCAAAAAGAAAGGTAATAGGCCCCAAGCAAGTCCAAAACACTGTAGGACACATATTAAATCTTAAAGCTGGAGAATAATATATTTGACACTGTGTACCACCTCCTGGATATACTGGGGTGGGGGTTAGGCTCCCAAGGACTCAGGCAGCCCCACCCCTATGACTTTGCTGGGTGAAGTGTATATGTCTACTCACAAGTGTTGAAGTCCAGTGCCTGAAGTTTTCCTAGGCAAGTCTGGCATGCTGCCAGTGATTCCACAGTTTCGTGGTTCCAGTGGCAGTCCCATTCCCAGGGCTCGTAGGCTTTGCCTTAGTAGGGACTCACTGTCGTGACCTCAAATAATAAAAGTTGTACCCTGAAGGAAAAAAAAATTCTGTTGTTTGGACCATGCATCAATCATTTTTCATTCCATTTGCCACATTACAGGTAGTCTCATTCAAATGCAAAAGAGGCTGTCCTATAAGCGTAAAATGAAAACCTAAAGGTAATTGCATAGCTTCAAAATGAGCAAAAAAATAACCCACAGACTAAGTACCCACTGTCATCTCCCAAAGATCATTTCTCCAGTTATTGACTGGTTTAAAATCACACTATTATAAATATGAACACGTAAGGAAGGCAAATTATTGTGGTCACATACAGGTAGAAGAACAAAGGATGAAGAACAAAGAAAGAAACAATATTCATAGATAAAATATAGAGAGATGACGATGACTTATTTACATAGTAGCAAGTGTTTGTTTTAAATATATATATACTCACACACATATAAACATATATATATACACACATGAATATAACTTGATGATTTTATTTCTGAAAATGTGGATACATAGTAAATAATTGGAAAAAAAATTAAAACAGATTTAATTTTCCCAGCCATCCTGATTTTTTCTTTTATTGAATGCAATGGAGAGTAACATGAATACTTTCAGAATGAGATAAATATAGGTAATGCATTTAATAACATGTACTATCTTAAACATCAACTGTTATAAAAATTAACTGGACTCCATAGAAAATAAGCTTTGTTACTAATACAAATGTGTTCTATGATCTCTTTATTAAAAACTTTCCATTTTTTCCAAACGTTTAACATTTAGAAATGTTATTTTTATTGTCTTACTTTGTCATTTACGATTATGATGCATACACTACTTAATTTTCTATTCAGTAGGAAAGCCTATTCTTCAACAGAACACTAATATATAAAAGCCTAAGAGAGAAAATCAGGTATTTAAACCACCTGTCTGAGTTATAAATGAAAATAATGTGTTACAAGAAATAGGCCTAATGTTTTATAGCACAGCAGGTAAGTTAGCATGAAAAATGGTGTTATACCTAAAAAAATTATCATGAATTGTAAAAACATACTATTAATATCCTACTGCAGGTAATGTGTTTCAACTTTATTACTAGAAAATATACCACAAAAAGTGAAACTTTGCAATATCACCACAGGAATTAATATACTTGCAATGAAAATGTAATTTCTAAACAGTCAGAAGTGTGAGGTTTTGAGGGGATTATTTTAATTATACATATACATAGCCTACATTTCAGAAAATAAAAGTGCATTTTTTAAAAATGTGCACAATTTTAAAGTTTAGCAAATACAATTTTGCTTGGTCAATATTTTGAAATAAATCATATGGTCATATATAGTTTATATGACACTAGATATAAATACTAATAGGAAAAAGTGAGGGCTTTCTTCTATTTATTTTTAATTCTTCATAATTAATTTTTATGTTTCTATATGTATATTCAATCTCTGAAACCTTGATAAATAGTTTGAGACCTTTTTAAAAACATACTGCTGGAGGAATTGTAAAATCTGACTACTTAGCACTCTCCTGAATTATGAAACTAGACAATTTCAGCAGGGCTTCAAGGCATTATTTGACTAAGTCTTCTTCAACTTTTCTTTTTTTCAATGCAATTTAAGAAATACTTGATTTGGATATAAACATGTCCCTAAAGAAATTATTTACTTACCCTGATTATCATTAACTTTCAATTGCTATTATGTTATTCAATAGCATGAGCTTAAATTAACATAAAATGTTAGTGAATACGGCATTTTATTCTAATTTTAAATTGTAATGCATAAGACTTTGGTATATGGCAGTTTTATAGAATACCCCAAAATAGGAAATGAAAGTGATTATTGGAGTTTACTTAAGAAAATGTTTGAGATCATCTGGAAACTAAAGAACACTCATGAAAACAAATAAACTAGGTAATAAATGCTGAATAACTTGGGAAACGAACAAAAATATTGTTCATTTTTTAAAACTAATATAACCCTGATACCAGAAATTAACAAATTAAACACATTTATTAAAAACATGTAAAAATGAGACAAAGAGTAAATTTACAGAAATGCATGACATAAAAATATAGATGTAAAAATTCTTACCATAAAACAGTGATTCAAATTCAATCATATATTTCACATATAATTAACAAAAATGATGTAGATTTATTATGAGATAAAAAGGATGCTTTAATAATAGGTAATGTCTATGAAATAAACAAAATCAGTAGTCAAATTAGAAGATAAATACATTTCAGGGAGAGACTCAGTAAAATTTAACGTCAGCTTCTAATTTAAAAAAAACTTTAAAATGGAAATATAATGGTGATTAATAATAAATATATCTCAAGAGAATATTCAATAACGCTTTCTCCTTTAAATTACGAAGAGAAAGATTTTCAGTAACGTTATTATAATTTAGCATTATTGGAAATGCCCCGAATAATTTATAAACAGTAATAGAAGAGTCATAACTACTGAAACAAGAAACGTTACCATGTTTTACAAGCCATATAATTGCACATTTTGGCTAAAAAGTTTTTACAATTTTTATTAATTTTATTTATTTGCTTATTTATTTATTGAGATGGAATCTCACTCTGTCACCATCATTTATTTTTGATGAGCACAATTAGAATCCTATTCTTTAGCTGTTTCTAAATATACAACATATTATTACTAACTGTAATCAAATCGCTTTACAATAGATCATCAGAAATTACTATTCTTACCTAACTGAATCTTTATACTCTTTGACTTATGTCCCTTTTTTCTCCATCCGCCCTTCGCATCAACCTCTGGTTACCACCATTTTACTCTCAGCTTCATGAGTTTCACTTTTTTAGATTCCACATATGAATGCGATCACGTGGTATTAATATCTCTGTGTCTGGTATATTTCACTTAGCATGTTTTTTGTTACAACCATTTTGGAAAACAATAAGTAGGTTCATCACAAACCTAAAAACTGAATTACCATATGATCCAGCAATCCTGCTTCTGGGTATATATCCAAAGGAATTAAATCAGCATGTTGAAGAGTTATTTGTATTCCCATGTTCATTGCAGCCTGTCCACAATAGCCAAGACATGAAAACAATTGAAGTGCCCATCAATGTATTTAGGAATTCAAGAAAATGGTAACCTTTTAAAATCTATTTTTTCTAATAAGAACCAAGATAAATATATTCAAATAAACTCAAATAGTGTACAAGATAACTACACTAATTTGAGTTTGTCTGCACATATTACAATAGTGTCACCATTCACAGTCTTTACATCTCACTGCTTCTAATAGCAATTCCTCTTCCTATGGCTATAGGAATAGAGTAGTGATCCTAACCAGGCCAAAAAAAATTCCCCTTTTCCTGCTGAAATATAGTTTATAGTCAAAAAATAAATATCACCTGATCCAAGGTAAACAAATAGGACTTTCTGCAAGATTTTGAATATGGCAATATAAATAACGGTTGTATGATGTCAACCTGAACCACCTATGTTCACATGCTTATTATTGGGAGAATGTCCTTCTGCAGTAGAAAAAGCAAGGTAGACAGGAAAGTAGAGGGAAATAATGGAGCAGGAGTAGGATTGAAAAAGAGAAAGAGGAGAGAGCAAGCAATCTAGCCAGTGGAGTTCAAAATGCCGATTATAAAAAACATGGACTTTGGATATGCTCTGGTTCCTAATGTTTATTTTATCCTGTAACAACTCAAGATTTTCCATTAAATTCTCCTCTTTGTTTGTCTATTTATTTATTTATTTTTGTGTTAATAGCTGAATTGCTTTTATTCCAATTGTTACTGTCGAGTCCTGGAACATTCTACACACACTGAAATGAGACAGAAAAATAGAAAGGGAGAGAGAAAGAGATCGTAAACAACTTTTTTAATCATATACCTGTATTTTATTGTTAAAAATGCAAACAAGTTATAAAATATAATGTAGAAAAATGTGTATGAATAAAATAGCCATGAGGCTGATTCAAAACAATTAAGGTAGGGTTTACATCTCAAGTAGGAAGCAGGAAAATGGATTTGGAAGTTAACATGAACTTTCCATTTTATATCTTCGTAAGTTACATGGTGAAAACGTAGATGTTTAATGTTATTCTCCAAAGCTATGGAGCTAAATAGTTTTTTTGAAAAACCAGAAAAATATACAAAATATTAAAAAACATTTTAATATACCTAAGAATACATTTGCTGAGAGAAACACCTAAGAAAAATAACACTGTGAATGACTGAGCTATGGATTCTGTGATTTGAGTAAACTATGTGATGGTTCTCAAGTTGCAGATATTCTGGACCAGAATGATAAAACTTTAAAGTTTTTCTGACCATATATGTGCACAATGCAGGGATTTGAGCTGCTTTTAAATAAAAGCCAAAAGGTGCCGGAGGAGAGTAAACCACAAAGCACACCACAAGATCATTGGTACCTCCAATTTTCCTCTCATTAATTTCCTTTTACAATTTTCTTTTCGCACCTCTCAAATAGCTCTCCATAAATTCTGCCTAGGGACTTTAGTTGAAGTTATTGACAGAGATAGAACTGGATATTTTTCCCATTGTAGTGGTTTAAATATGCTATTCTCTAATGACTGATAATGATGAACATAAACTTTGTTTCCTCATCTGTTCACTCACAGTTGAGACCAGACAAGGCAACCATGCTTTGCTTTCTTGTATCAAGTCGCATACACTTGCTATAGACTAGATTTTTTAAAACCATAATAAAGAAAATCCATTCCTTCACCCCCTTTTAGTGACAGTGTCCAAGTCTTATTACGCAGATGTGTAACTCAATAGTCCAACATTCATCTGCTTAAATAGATAACATTCTTCAAACTTTTAATAAAAGAGTGAATGCAAGTATAAAATAGGATTTTGAAAACTTCTACCTAACAGGGAGAGCACCTCTAATCATTATGTATCTGTTAAATATCATCATTACATTGGTTAGCATTGATTTATTCATTAATTTTACATATACATGCTAAATATTAGAAGGGGAATAAATAAAGTACCTCATATTTTCTGCTCTGAGCCATTTGGAGACATGATGTGAATGAGATTCAAGCAGTATGTATGTTAATGTTATCAGAATATAAGTATTCAAGTTATTCTTAGTTAATTTTAACTAATTTAGCTTAAAGTGATGATATTTTAAATGATTTTAAAATAAGATACTGTTAAACTTGTAGGACATAGTTATCTACCAATATAATTCATGATATAATAGGTGCACTAGGACTAAGAACATCCAAAGCATCATTTGGATATTGTTAACAGCTTAATTTAGTCAAGTAACTACTTTTTCTGATGCATAGTGGAAAACATATTTTAGCTAAATTTGTGCTTTTCAACTAGTACTTTGTGCACCATATAGATATATTAAGAATAACATCTCAGAGATCATAACAGGATCTCAGCTAAACCCAATATTAACTTAAATTTACACAATAAAGATTTATCTAATCCACTAGAAATTTTATCTTTTCATGACAATTATTATTATTATTTTTTTGCCCCTTGGTTCCTGTTATCATCTACAGTGCTTTTCCAAGAGCCTTGAGAATTGTGGGCTAATCTGTGGCATGGCACACTCATTTTCAATGGTATCTTCATGTCAAGAACGGAAGGAAACACAGCTACATAATGTAAAAACCGTACTTTCTCATATCCCACTTCCTGAGCCTTTTACAGTGCTGTATTTGCCTTTCTGCCTCTCAGAAAGCAGAGCATTTTCATTTTCAACTCAGCTGCTCACTTTTCAGTTTCTACATCCAACTCAGCCAACTAACTTGTGACCCTGTCTGCTGCTGACAGCTGGGTTACACTGTTGAGAATTTATTTCAGGGAGTTTGAAACTTTCCCCTTATCTGATTTGCTGATTTTAGTTAAACATGAAAAGATGTCTTATGAAATCTGATGCCAAATTCTCAGATGCCAGTATTTAAGAATTCACTTGGCACTCCATTGTTATTGATATCATTGATTTATCACTATGCAGACTTTTTGTGTGTAGAAATGGAAAGAAATATGAAAGCATTTTTATGTATTATGGTACCTGTAGTCTTTTGCTTTAGGCATAGAAGAATGGGGAACTCCCATGAAAACAGAACTAAAGTTTATACCTTGCACTTTCAAAAGAAGTCAAATGTAATTCAAAATAATTTACATATTATATAGTTATTAATAATCACTAAAGGTAAAATGTTTATATAATACATTTTAGAAGATACAGGAGAATTTAATGCTCATAACTAGCCATTTTTACTCATGTTTTTAATTTACACATTTTTCAACTCCTACTAGTCAACAATTCAAATCTGACAATTTGCATAACATAAAAAATAAAATCCCACATTTCCAGTATAATTATTTCAGATAAAATAAGCAGAGATGAGGAGAAAGTGCCACCACCATAGTGACACGAAAATTTATCAAATAAAGCCATTTTCCAAATTCCCTACTATTTCCTAAAGAGCAAAAACACAACATGGTTCTTTGTGTACTATAGTCACTTATACTGACTGTGTCTTACTTTATCTTCTATCTATTTTTTTTTTTTTTTTGAGATGGAGTCTCACCTTGTTTCCCAGGTGGGAGTGCAGTGGTACGATCTCGGCTCACTGCAACTTCCACCTCCCAGGGTGAAGTGATTCTCCTGCCTCAGCCTTCCAAGTAGCTGTGATTACAGGCATCTGCCACCATGCCAGGCTGATTTTTTCTATATTTAGTAGAGACAGAGTTTAACCATGTTGGACAGGCTGGTCTTGAACTCCTGACCTCAGGTAATCAACCCGCCTCCATCTATAATTATGGTTTCTGACCATATTATGTTCCAAAAGTCTCCTCTGCACAAAATTTAATTATTCAATGTATGTTTTTTGAATATTCACTGTGTCAGTTACTGATATTAAAAGACAAACACAATCTAATTTCATTCCTCAAGGAGCTTATGTAACAGAAGTGCATGAAGAAAAATACAATAGCACATTTCTATTATTAATATTATTATATAAATGTAAATGAAAGGTGATTTCAAAATAAATGGTTGTTTATAGAATAGAAATATTAGGCATTCTTAGCAGAATTGGTATGGAAATGAATCTAGACAGAAGAGCAAGGTTCAGATCATGGGGGACTTGTATATCATGCTAAGGAGTTTAAACTATTGCCTGTGATGAAGTGAACCCCTGATATACTTTTTATAATAAGTAAATAGTATCAAAATAATTTTTAAATTGTTAAAAAGAGTCTACCTAATGACAGAGTTAAGGATAGATATGTGGCTTAAACTTCTGCACTACAAGCAGATACGGTGTTTAGAAGACTAGAATATCATTGCTAGAATCCAGAACATAATTGGTGAAGGTGACTTGTGTTTCTTTGGCTTGAACACTCAACTAACGGTGATTTTCAATGAGGTAATGGATTTTGAAGATGAGTTAATATGCAATAAAATGTAATTAATTTGGATACATGTGAGATACCAGCAAATAGCCGTTAGTGAATTTTGATATATGGCCATTAAATGTAGAGCAAAAGACAGGAATGGAGTTAAGACTTAGATGTCATAATTATAATGTAGCATTTGAACTGAGTGAAGTGAGTATATGTGTGTGTGCGTGTGTGTGTGTGTGTGTGTGTGTGTGTGTAAAATAGAAGAAAAGAGAAGAATCTAGGAAAGACACCAAGATTTAAGCTGAAAGTAAGAGATAAAGGCCTTTGCAAAAAAGTAAAGAAATAATGTTCAAGAAAATAAACTTAGATAGAACAAAGGCAAGGAGAATTCTAGAGAGAATCCTAAAGATATTTTAAAGAAAACTGTAGTCACTAATTGGAAATGTTGCAGAGGATATAATTAATGTGACCACTGAACATGTTAATTATTTTTAATAGGAGGCTGTTAATAACTTTTGTGTCTATGATTACAATGTTCTGAGGGCAGAAGCCAAATTCTAGTGCAATTGAAGGACTAATTTTGGGTAAGCAATTAAAAATACAAATGTAGACTACCCTATAAATTCATTTTTTTGAAGGGAAGAGGCTAAGGATGTTAGCTAAATGAAAATACAGTGTAAGCAAAGGGTATTTTATGTTTTAAAAAATCTGAATATGTTTGAAAGATGCAGCGAAGAGTCATTTGAAAGAACAAGTTCAGCATTAGTGAAAAAACATTTTTATGAAAAAATTTTGAATTTTTTATGGGAGTATTGATCATACGGGAAATAGCATAGTGGTATTACTCTTTTTGCTTTAAACCTAAAGAAAAAATGCACTTCTCTGAGATTGCAGGAGAGAGGTAAGGTGGAGTTGACCAGGATCATGTAAGACATTTTGTGTGGAAATATGAAGACCCAGCAGTGTATATAAACAACTATGTTCATACATGTGTGGCTTTCTCCTATATGTCTTAGTAGCCATAAGTGTTGAAGCAGACACAGCACACAATAATGCTGTTATAGACAGGAGTGGAGAAAAAGATTATGGAATGAGATTATTACTGATGCCTTTAAAAGAGTAGTTGAAAATATGTTTTATGTGACTTAGTTTGGATAGATAAGAAAAATGTAGAGAAATAGTGGTTATATACCAGGATTAGAAAAAATCTTAGAAACAGGGGTATTATTAAAACAAAAATGAAACAATACTTTTTATCATTTAGAGCAAGAAGAACGCATGGTTCAGGGTGCACATAATAGGTTGTTGGGAGTTTGCAATTGTGTATTTTTGAACACTTCAAATAAAGCCAAGGGTCAAAATGAAGTATTGAAATTGAGTAGCAGAATTAGAAAAGAAATGAAAAACATTGGAAGGTAAAATTTCCAAGGACTCCTATTTTTTGTATTTTACTTTATAGTTAGCATTTTTTTGAAGTTGCTTTGGATTATGATGGTGGTAGAAGTGTAAATACTATGAGGCACATTCAAAAGTTGTCAATAACAGGTTGATAGCCTATGGGCAACATCAGATAGTAATAGCCAAACATCAAAAACAAAAATTAAAATACACAACAAAGGTATTAATTATAATGTCATTAGAATTAAATTGGTTTGGCTGTAAACTTCACCTCCACCACTTGCTGACAATGAAACCCTAAAGAAATAATCCTCTCTGAATCAAAAATGTATCTTAACCAACAAGAAAATTTCTACACAAACAAAATTATGTCTTTTTCCTAAGGGTCATAAATAAAGTATAGCAAAGACAAAGAAACTCTCAACTCAAACAATTTTGGATGATAATATCTATTTTAATATAATAGTATGAACATATATAAAATCTAGGAAAATAATGTCCTTCCTTGTGGAGGTACATGCAATGGCATTCACATTTCTGGAATTACTTATAAAAAATTATACATAACTAAAACATTTTGTACATTTTCATTCTTTTTAAGACATTTATCATCCATATAGAAGGAAGAAAATAAAAAGAATAGCAGAACTCAAGAAAAAATTACAGTAATTGGATATTAGAGACAATATTAAAAAGCAGAAGTTTGTTGATTAAGCTGGTTCATTACATGCAAACAATAATTACAATTCAATATATTTTAAGAGTTGAAAAATTAATTGGGGATATAATATGATACAGAACAAATATATGATAAAATTCAACATCTAATAATAGCAATAACGATTTGATAAATAGTAATAGAAATAAACTTTCCTAAACTGATAAAGATTATCTACAAAAATTTTTGCAAGCATCGCAGTTCATTGGAAACATTGCAATATTTACTCTTGAGATGGTGATCAATATAAATAGCAATGATCACCATTTCTATTCATCAATATACTGGATATGCTAGTAAGGATGATAATAAATGATAAATGGTAATGATTAGATAGAAAAAGATACAACTGTTATTAATTTATAGGCCACATAGTCATGAATCTAAAGTATAAAAAATAATCCATATAAAGAACTATTATAGCTAATATGTTAACATAAAAAGTTTACTGGATATAAGAAAATATAAAAGTAACTGAATTTCTACATATGCGCAATGGATTAATAGAATTTGCCTATACACACACTTCAGACATGCTATGTCAAGAGCATCATCTACCTTTGCAGGATTGAGTGTAGTTTCACATTACTTAAATGCCTAATAAATCCTTAGAATTAGGTTCTTCCTAAAAACCTTTGCTTTATTTCCTTTTTGCCTTTCTTGTTTGACTATAAAGGACTTCATCCAAACAGCATTTTCTTAGTGTGACCTTTTGTGATGATGTGTTATTAACTGCATATACAAAGAACAGAGAGAATTTCGGCTGATCATAAATCTTACTGAGGACATGTAAGAAATAGGCAATTTGCCTTATACTACAAATAATTTTCTCTGTCCTGTACCTTAACATCCTCTGAGAGGCAAACCAGCATAATTAATAGAGGTCAATGAATAACACTCACAGCTGGCAGTTTTTTATACGGTAGCAAAGAGTAAAGGAATTAATCATAATATTCTCACTACTTGATCGTTTTTGTTTTGATATTCAACTACAGTAGTGTTTAAAAAGTTAAATTAAGAATAAACTAAAATACAAAACTTCATAGTGTCTTTGGGAGCGGGAGTCTTTTTTCGCTTAAATTCTGTTTCTGCTTCAGCGTGTGATCTCGCTTGTGTGGACTTCATTTTTCTCATCTGTAAAATGGTGGGGTGTGGTGATAACCAAGACACAGGGTAGCTGGCTTAAGTTTTCATGTGTGTAAAAAGTGACTTGTGTAGTCACTAATACATAGTGTGGGATCAGTGCTGAAAAGACAGTCTTTGTAGTAATAGTAGGAGAAGTAGAAGTGTTAGTAGTTATTGTGTAGCACATTCATTTCCACTGCATGGCACTGAGGTTTAAGGTCACTCTCCCTGACTCAGAAGCTGATTTAATAAATTAAGGAGAAAAAAAATCAGTATGCATGGAATCATGTTAATAAAATATTTATGTGTTGCTTTTTTATTTTTCTTTTTTTTATGTCTTAGTTTTTTAGACATTGTAAAGCAGAGACCAAATGATAATGAAACCATAAAATAAGGAGCAGCTCACTTCACTATGGATAAATTGGCTTTAAATATCATTGGGTTTCCCATATGTTATTATAGAAAATGGTGGAAGCTATTACTCTGTAGTTTCACTTATATTTTTCTCTCAAAGTCTACAGTGCTGTTTGATCATTTAAGATAAACAATTTTAAAAGCTGTGATCTCCAAAGTCCATTCTATTTCTAAAATTATGTCTGATGTCTGTATGGGAGCAGACAATATTTAAGTAACCTCTAACAACTATTTAGAAACTAAGTAAAAATTTTACAGAAGAATATAGAAAGAATAATGGAAAGATATCTGGAATCAAGAATTAAAATGTGTACTTCAGATAAAGAATTTTGCTGGAGTAAGAGAAGACAATGTTTGTAGTGTGGACTTTTGAAAACTTGTTTCCTTTAAGTAACATAAACGTAAGTAGCAAATTAAGTTTTCAAATGCAAGAATTGTAACATAAGATTGCTCAATCAATTTGATTCAAGGCTTTAGAGCTATCCATCCTTTAATAAGTCTCTCTAACATTTCATGTGGGAAATAAAATATTTTACTTATTCTTTTAGAGTTATGTAGTTTGTGCTTGGAAAGGCTATTACTTACTCAGTTTCAGATATTCTTCTATTTGTTGGCACATATACAAGCGTAGACAATTCAACTACTTCACTTCATGTTATTAAATAAAGTAAATATATTTCCTCTGGTAGTAGGAATATACATTTTTAATGAAATGACTTTTTTTCTGTAGAAATTTTACTTGATCCCTTCACCATAAATTTTCTTTTTCTGAATGAGAACAGGCAAATAGAGAAAAAAAGAGCTTAACAAATTACTTGAGTCTAGGACTTGATGTAAGAAACTCTTAAAAGAGGTTTTGATAATTTCCTTTTCAGAAATAATTTCTATATATTCTTAGTAAACAGGCTGATGTCTCCCTTATTTGTGTTACACGTAACATCTTTGAAAAACTTTTCATGTCTTCTCTATACATCTGGTATGCTATAGTAAGTTGTGGGAGGAAAAATAAACAGAGCTCATTATTTTCATTTCTTTTGGCTTTTAGATTTTAGTTTGCATCAAAATACATCATCCATACTGATGTGTGTAGAGAAGCAAAACGTGACAATTACGTTGCACTATCCACTTAGAGGTACCTAAGTAGTTTTGTTTGGTTTTGAGCAGTTACTAAAGCTTTTGCCTTTCTTATAAGCAATAAATACTAAGGAGATTAGCATATTTTGTTCAATATTATGGTAAATGATTTTAGTTTGATATTATACAAATAAAATAAATGCTTTTTCAATGCCTACAGAACTTTTCTAGAAGTTAAATATACTGCACATAGCATTATATATTACAAATCAACAATGCATATCTGTAAAATAAACATGATATCTGAGTCCTTACTCTTATCTATTCTTATCTAATCAATCTTTGGAAAGGGTTAAATTTTCACAATTAAGAAAACTGCACTGCTTACTGTAGTAAAACTGCAAATATGGCCACAAATTCCTCTCATCTTTGTATGCATGACCCCTTGCTATGTAGAAGGATCTTCTTACCTCTACAGTCTCAAACTTCACTTCGATTGTATTGGTCAGATAACTTGATTTGAACAATAAAAATATTAAACATGCTACAGAAAGAGGCTTGAACAGAGGTTGTTCATTGGGGCTTTACTTCTTTTTCTGTGCTTAGAGTCCTGAGACTACCTTGTGGTTAGCCTGAGCCAGGTCACTGGAAGATGAGAAGTCAGATAGAGGAGAATCATTGCACTATTTCTAATGGCCAAGTGACCACCAAATAGTGAGACCAACCAGACCATCAGTGAACCACCTGTCTATCTTCCAGATAACAGCAGACACAAGAGAAGGCCCCATATAGCTACTCTAACCCAATCCAGAAGCCGACTAAAAGGTTTATAGGACAAATAAAATGATTATGTTGTTTAAAATCATTCCATTGCACAGCAAACACTAAGTGATAAACTCACAAATGTAAGCTGGGTGAAAAAAGATGATCTTATGAATAAGACTGAAACAAAATGCTCTAAAAATACGAAACAATTTACAAGATGGTAACTTTGCCTAAGGTTTAAATCAACTAATAATAAAAAAACTGGCATTAGGAAACAATATTCACCTAGTAATACAGAAAATGTTCAAATAGTAGTGCTATACCCGACTGCAGCATTACATTAAGTTTTGTGCAGGACATGACATCGATAGTATTTTACCTGTGATCAGATAGCTGAGATGACTCAATATCAATCAAACCAAACAACAAATTTCATGTTCTTGTGCCAAATAAGCTCATTATGTTGCATGACCAGAGAGTGTAACTTTAAACGAAGCTGGCCATCTGGCAAATTCATATTTTGGTCACAAGAGGAATCATAAAAAATAGTTCAGAATACTTGTCTTTACAAAATGTTCACATTTTAAATATATCTCAGGCTAATTATACTTTGTACAATGAATTATACATAATATACCTTCCCCTCTCTTTTCTCCTCTAGTTTATTTCATTGCTTTTAAAAAATCATTTTATTCCCAAGCTTAAACCAATAATTATAATTTAAGAACCAAAAAATATTTACAACAGTTATAAAATTGCAATTGACTTGTTACACTAATTTTGTTTAAAATCTTGCTTCTCCCATAATGTTACCTAATTGTTTCTTTAATTATCTTAGGCTTAGGGTCTCAACACGTTTGCTGGGAGAAAACAGTATTTTTTGTATAAACTTCTATATACACTAAGGGGAAAAACTCCTATATTTTATTTAGAATATGTTAGAAAGATCAATTTTTTTCTGTTTATTTTAATTTAACTTCTTGTCCTAGCACAAAATAGGTTAGGTAGAAATAGAATGTTTGCTGACAACAACATGCAACTAATGATTTTTCCTATACCATGCTTTAATTAAATTTTACTTTATTCTTGAGGCAAGAAAGCCATGCAGGGATTTTTACTTTTTTTAAATTTATATCCTATAGATAAGGCTCAATTTAATTCCATTCCCTGTGAAAATGGAGAAAACAATTGTCCTACTTGCAAACTCATGCAATTTGTAAACTAATTTGCCCACACTTATATTTTATGGGATTAAAATTATGGTCACTTTCAAATCCCCAGATACATATATTCCATGATTTTGTTTTTCCTTATGTGGGTGGTTAAATATTATGGTTTGTGAGAATAACAGAAAAGCTTAAATAGTTCAAAACACTATTCTTCAGCAAAGTTGAAAATGAAATGAAACTAGATTTCTTTTTTTTTTACTTTCTGAGAAAGTGTTATTTGAAAGTCCATTTTTGAAGGATTATTTACATTTAATTTCAAAGACCACTAATAGGGAAGAAAAATTTCCTTTTTCTTTTAATCTGCTAATACCTTTAACACACTTTCTTCTCCAAGCATTCTACCCCTTTTAACACTGTTAATGTCAACGGGCAGAGAAGGAAAAAGGAAGTCAGTTGGAAACATTAAAGTCTTAATAACAGGTAAAAGTATACCTGATGTATAGTAACTGGTGATGTTAATACACAAGCATTGCTTTCTTATTTTTGTAGCCCTTTTTACAGAGTTGTAGTTCCAGCAACTCTGTCCACACGCCAAGCCCAACCTTCTAACTAGATAGACTTTCCTCTCTATACTATACCTTGATGCAAACATAACACCCTTTAGCTGAACTGTTACAATTCTCACTCAGCTTTTGACCAAGTTCCGTAATTCTAATTTCTTTTATCCTGAATTAATTCTCTAAGAAAAAGGCAGGCAGCAGTTTCTAAGCTCCACAAATTCCAAGAACATATGCCAGTTTATATTAATAATTCTCTTGAACTTCACCCAAGAAGTCTGAAGTCTATATAAGAGTTTCAGAAGCTCAGAAAGCATTGAGCCAAGGATAATACATGAATTTTCCCTCTTGAAAATGATCACTCTCAACCTCCCAAAGAATTATTTTCATGCCACCTCACTTGTTTGGTGAGTGCAGGGAGGGGAAAAAGATAAATGCTTAGCCTTTTCTATGGATGTAAATGAATAAGCATACCTCCAATTAGCTCTTTAGCCTTCTTTAATATTAACTTATTAACTTATGATGATTATTATAATGATCATGGCTTAACCACTTTGGATACATTTTTGCAATTCTTGCATAAATGTGAATAGTAAATCATTGTTAGATCACACACATAAAGTCCTATTTGATATAATGATGTCTAAGTAAAACGTCTAGCTCACAGTGTATGTTCAATAAATGTAAATGCAATAATCATATTACTAACACCTTGAGCTAAAAAAAATACAGTGTGAGATAAAAAATTAGAATTTAAATTAGATACCTGACTTCTAGTTTTGGATCTATCATCAGTTAATATAAACCTTATATAGCCAATGTCTCAGTTTACAGATATAAATACACACATGTCCTATATAAATTTTGTGGTAAACTTTGAGTTCTCTTCAACTTAAAATGACACGTAATTCTACCCAGTATATAATCAATAAAATGTAATTGTTGAATTTAATAAGCTATAACTCTATACTTAAAAATGTTTTAAAGCTTAAATCAGATTTCATCATTCCCAAGTGGAAGATAATCATCATAGAAAATGCAGATTCAGGGCCAGGCGTGATGGCTTCTGCCTGTAATCTCAGCACTTTGGGAGGCCGAAGTGGGAGGACTATGAGATTAGGAGTTCAAGACCAGCCTGGCCAATATGGTGAAACCCCATCTCTACTAAAAATAGAAAAATTAGCCTATCATAGTGGCACATACCTGTAGTCCCCACTACTCGGGAGGCTGAGGCAGAAGAATTGCTTGAACCCGGGAGGCGGAGGTTGCAGTGAGCCGAGATTGTGCCACTGTACTCCAGCCTGGGCAATAAAGCAAGATTCTGTCTCGGAAAAAAAAAAAAAGAAAAGAAAAATGCAGATTCAAATTTTATTAAGATGACAATATACTCTCAAGGGAATTTTACGTACGTATATTTATCTCCTTTAAGTTGTAGATTTTTTTTTGGCATTGTAAACTGATTTAGGCACACACAAAATAATAATTAACTTTGACTAGATACCAATCCTAGCAAGTTTTATTCTCCACATTAATTCTGCTATTAGAGATACCACCATTATAGGGAAGAAGGGTCATGCTAGAAGCAGAGAAATAATAATAATAATAGTAATAATAGAGATGAGATAAGCTATATTGATTCATTTTTGTTTTATTAAAGGAGTTTCATACACCCACTTCCAACATTTCTTACGTATTAAACCTTGAGAATAGTTAGGGTTCTATATCCTTTGAAGTCAAATGTAAAGCGGAAAGAGGAAATCTGTAACTTAAACCCCTTGCATTTCTGGAAAGGAGCATAATTAATGTTCAAATAACATGGCTGACCAAATGGAACCAATTATTGAATCAATTAAGCACTCAGGCCTAAACTATACATAGCTGTATGTACACTCTCAAAAAGTTGTCAGATTTCATGTTTATAGATCTTGGCTTTCCATGCAAGCTAAACTGAAACTCCACATCTACTTCAAGTGACTCGACAAGTCTCAAAAGGCTCATACAATGTCACCTCTGAAAGAATTATTGTCTTCTTACTGTGCATATAAATTTAGAACATTACCAGGAAGTATGATCAAATTCCCTTTAATGTAAAATGAAATACTTTCCAAAAGTAGGACAACATTTCAAATAAAGCCCCAAGTAAGAATGCATCTGTGTCCACCTCTTGAAGATATGTATAGCACTACATACCATAAAAAAACCTCTGAACCATTTAAATGATCTGTTCAAAGACAAGTATACCAACTAAAATCTACAAGAGAGGAATAAAAAACAGACATTCTATTCTGTTTAACAAAAATTCTCTCAAAACAAAAGTCAAAATACCTTGAGATATGCTTCTTAAAACTCAATATAAAATCACAGACAAGCCATTTTTTATTTTTATCCCAAGTGTCATAATGTCATCATAAGAACTGAGCTTGAGACACAGCTTGAACACTAAAAAAAAAAAAAAAAGTCTCAGTTTTCAACAGTCCTAGGAGAAAAGGAGGCCCCTGTGGGTGACCTCATTATTCAGTTGTAAATTTAGCAAAGAAGGAATTGACAAGGTAAGGACTATGGGTACAAGTAGCAGTCATGGAAGGCAAGCTCCTTTGGAAAGAACTTACCCTGTCACTGCCGTGAAGAGCTCTAAATTGGTGGCCCCCTCCAGAAACTCAAGAGTATTCCAGGGGTTTATATATACATACATATTTTTTGAAATAAAAATGTCTTCAATATTCCTCTTGCTTTACTTAGAATGCCTGATTTTTAAAATGGTATCCAAGTTGAACTTACTGATTTCAATGAAAGGAGAATAATTTGTTTAAGTCACTAAAAGACACATTTTAAGACAAAATTGGCATCCAATTTATGTCATTGCTATACCATTCCTTTATCATTTGCATTGATGTATTTTTTGAAGAGCAGCATGCAATATATAAGCATGTAATTATATATCTAAATGATAAAATTAAGACCTTGGTCTTTGTATAAAAATCCAAATTGATATATCGTTTTTATATTTAAGCACGTCATTTTTTTGCCTTTTGTCTCCAAAATGTCTTAGAAGAGCATGATGCATACCATATCTATTTTACCAAAAAAATCTAACACTCTGAGACTTTAAATAATTTTATTTAAAAATTGATAAGAAAGACTTCAACTACAATCTTCTGGTAGATTGTACTCACTTTAATAGGTATTATGAGCTCATATGGATATATTTATTATAAAATCAAAGTTAAATATTTATAGTTACAGATCTGACACAACAGTATAGAATGCATAAAAATTTATAATTTCTCCATTCAGAGCTTGCATTAAAATTGAAGTTGATAACCAATTATACCTAATAATTTTAGGGACATAATGGATATATATTTGAACTTCATAATATTCAATATGTTATGTATATTTAATGGAAAATGCTGCAGATTTATGGAAATTAGATGTTAATTTATCACATTTTGATTTTTTTACTATATTTATAGAGACAAATTAGTTACTTGTCAGTATATCTTCTGTCTGTACACAGCACCATACTGGAAACATATTTTATGTCTAATAATATCTATGGATGAAGTAAACACAAATACATAAATAACAAGGTTTTCCAATAAACATGCATTCTAAAGTTTTGTTTGCTCTTCCCTCACACTATCAGTTGAATAAAGGGAGAAAAGATAAAAAAAAAAAATCAAGAGATTCTAACCATCTAAATGAGTGGTGGCCAACATCTGAAACATTGTTTACATAAAGGAATCCATAAAATGGTTAAACAAAAAAATTATTAAGTCTAGTAGCCAATAGGAATCTTCCATAATGTGAAAAATATATAACATACAAATTTGAGATTCTATTAAGTGAGAATCACTTTTTTGGGTCACAGGTAACCTTTAAGCTGATTTTTTCCCAATTAATAAAATCACTGGACTACCCCAACACAAGTCAGACAGACAATATTCCGAAGTAGAATAGAGAAAAAAATTAGAGAGCAGGTTGTATGGTAGCCTCAGTTCTTGTTAAGTAGATGCAGCTCTTGACATTTTGCAAAAGATTTTGAAAGTGAAGTTCTTTAAATTTAGCATTTCCTAGATCTGCAAAATTTGGAAGAGCAACATGTATATCTAAAAGGAATTAAAATTACAGAACATTCTTCAGACATGGAAGCAGAATTCCTTGAAAATGGTACTATAAGTCCAAATGCAGAGATTTGATTATCATAACACAGATTTCTCACAATATTCTCAAATAGAATCAATGAATACCAAAAAACATAAATTTATTTGGTAAGATTCATTCATTCCAAACTGAGGAGAGGCTGTAAATTAGTACCATATAATGGCAAGACACTGAGATCACAATGACTGAAAGGGCTTAGGTGACTTTTACAATGACTGAGGAAGAGCTTAGCAAATCCTGTTTCAAAAAAAAAAAACGAAAAAAACTGGACATAATTATTCAAACATCTATTCAAAGACTGGAAACTGAAGAAATATATATGGTAAATATATAATATACCACGTATTCAAAATATAAAAGCACGTATTCAAAAAAGTGTATTGTATCACAGTAAGAAAAATGGGAGTCTGTAGTGTTTTGTTCTGGAAGCGACTTCTGCAATTCTTCTCCCTAGTACAGAAGTTCTACTAGGTTGGGACAGGCAGAGCAGACTAGTAGAGCAAGAAGACTTTACTGGAAGCAAAGCAAGAAAAATTATTATATACCCAGAATTGTCAAAGATTATAGCAGTACCAATGTCAATCAGGAAAGACCAACTTTACAATTAGCCATTACACCAGTTCAGTCAAAAAGTACAATTGCAGAAAAGTCAAATATTTAGAATGTAAATGAAAGGAAAGAGACAAAGATTGTCTTAACATTCTACTTATCCCAGCCTTCTATAAAACCTGTGGACACACAAAGCTAATAACCTTAAGAGAGACCAGAAGGGACCTTTGTAATCTACTCTTCCATGGATAAACATGTACCCTTTTGAACAAAGAAAGTAATATGTGTGAAACACTTCTAAAGTCTGAGTTTTTAATAAATTCTCCAACCTAGTCATAATTCAATTGGCCGATGATGAAAGCCATTGTTGACTAGGCAGTGTTTAAGCTCCAAGTGTTAAAGCACAACTTATAACTAATCATAGGCTAAAAAATAAGCTATGCCAATCCAGAAGCAACCCTAAGAAGGCTGGCTAAAATCTAATAACACGACTAAAAAGATAAATAAGGAATAGAGCCAAATTGTGAGATTCACAGATGTCACACAATTAGGCAAAGCAAGTCACTAAACATACAAACACAAAAATAGCAATAACAAACACCACCATGAAATGGAAAATTAGATTCCAGGTGTTTTAGAATATATTACCTAAGATATCCAGTTTTTAACAATGACAATGGAAAAAATGTGCAAAAAAATTATAACCCATGCACCGGGGAAAAAACAAACCCAAAATAAGTCCCATACATTGGACTTAGCAAGATGTTATAACTGTCTTCAAAACCCCGGGGAAACTATTATTAAATAATCAAAGGTGTGTCTAACAATGACTCATCAAGTAGAAAATACGAATACAGCGAGTAGAATTAAAAAAAAAAAAAAACAGAACCAAATGGAAACACTGGATTTAAAAATACAATAACTTAAATGTAAATGTACTAGACAGACTCAACAGAAAATATGGGCTTTAAGAATAATGAATCAACAAACTTGAAGATCAATAAGGAAAATAAAAGTCCCTAAATTTAATTAAAAAAGTATTTATCTGTACTTTTAGCAAGCTCAATAAACTCCAAGTGAGATAAACTTAGGGTATCCCCAACTGGCTGGCCGTGGTGGCTCACGCCTGTATTCCCAGCAGTTTGAGAGACCGACGCAGGCAGATGAGGTTAAGAGATTGAGACCATCCTGGCCAACATGGTGAAACCCTGCCTCTGCTAAAAATACAAAATTTCGCTGGGCGTGGTGGTGCACACCTGTAGTCCCAGCTACTCGAGAGGCTGAGGCAAGAAAATCGCTCAAACTCTGGAGGCAGAGGTTGCAGTGAGCCGAGATCATGCCACTGCACTCCAGCCTGGTGGTAAAGTGAGACTCTGTCTCAAATTAAAAAAAACAGATACCACCAACTAAACATAAACACATCATAGTGTGTCCGGAATTGGTGAGTTCTTGGTCTCACTGACTTGAAGAATGAAGCCGCAGACCCTCACGGTGAGTGTTACAGTTCTTAAAGTTGGCGTGTCCAGAGTTTGTTCCTTCTGATGTTCGGATGAGTTCAGAGTTTCTTCCTTCTGGTGGGTTTGTGGTCTTGCTGGCTTCAGGAGAGAAGCTGCAGAACTTCGCAGTGAGTGTTACAGCTCATAAAAGCAGTGTGGACCCAAAGAATGAACAGCAGCAAGATTTATTGCAAAGAACAAAAAAACATAGCTTCCACAAGGTGGAAGTAGACCCCAGCGGGTTGCCACTGCTGGCTTGGGCAGCCTGCTTTTATTCCCTTATCTGGCCCCACCCATATCCTGCTGATTGGTCCATTTTACAGAGAGCTGATTGGTCCATTTTACAGAGAGCTGAGTGGTCTGTTTTGACAGGGTGCTGATTGGTGTGTTTACAATCCCTGAGCTAGACACAAAAGATCTCCAAGTACCCACTAGATTAGCTAGATACAGAGTGCTGATTGGTATATTTACAAACCCTGAGCTAGACACAGAGTGCTGACTGGTGCATTTACAAACCTTGAGCTAGATACAGAGAGATGATTGGTGCATTTACAAACCTTGAGCTAGAAACAGAGTGCTGATTGGTGTATTCACATTCCCTTAGCTAGACATAAAAATTCTCCAAGTCCCCACCAGATCAGCTAGATACAGAGTGCTGATTGGTGCATCCACAAACCCTGAGCTACACACAGGGTGCTGATTGGTGTATTTACAAACCTTGAGCTAGATACAGAGTGCTGATTGGTGTATTTACAATTCCTTAGCGAGACATAAATGTTCATCCAAGTCCCCACTAGACTCAGGAGCCCAGCTGGCTTTACCCAGTGGATCCTGCACCCAGGTTGCAGGTGGAGCTGCCTACCAGTCCCGCGCTTTGTGCCTGCACTCCTTATCCCTTGGGTGGTGGAAGGGACCTGTGTGGAGCAGGGGGCGGTGCTCGTTGTGGAGGCTCTGGCTGTGCAGGAGCCCACAGCGGGGTGGGCCCGGGGGAGGCTCAGGCATGGTGGGCTGCAGGTCTGGAGCCCTGCCCCGCGGGAAGGCAGCTAAGGCCCCATGAGAAATTGAGTGCAGCGCTGGTGGGCCAGCACTGCTGGGGGACCCTGCGCACCCTCTGCAGCTGCTGGCCCGGGTGATAAGCCCCTCACTGCCTGGGGCCTGTGGGGCCTGCCAAGCCCACACCCACCTGGAATTCGCGCTGGCCCGCAAGCGCCCCGTGCAGCCCAGGTTCCCGCCCGCGCCTCTCCCTCCACACCTCCCAGCAAGCTGAGGGAGCCGGCTCCGGCCTCAACCAGCCCAGAAAGGGGCCCCCACAGTACAGCGGCAGGCTGGAGTGCTGCTCAAGCGCGGCCAGAGCAGGCACGGAGGCTGAGGAGGCGCCGAGAACGAGCAAGGGCTGCAAGGGCTGCCAGCACACTGTCACCTCTCAATAGTTGTGTTATAAGTCAAATAACTAAAAAAAAAAGAGGCTGGGTGTGGTGGCTCACGCCTGTAATCCCAGCACTTTGGGAGGCCCAGGCGGGCAGATCACAAGGTCAGGAGATCTAGACCATCCTGGCTAACATGATGAAACAAAAAATTAGCTGGGCGTGGTGGCGGGTGCCTGTAGTCCCAGCTACTCAGGAGGCTGAGGCAGGAGAATGGAGTGAACCCGAGAGGCAGAGCTTGCAGTGAGCCGAGATTGCGCCACTGCACTCCAGCCTGGGTGACAGAGCGAGACTCCGTCTCAAAAAAAAAAAAGAAAGAGAAAACAAAAATGAAATCAGGAGAAAAGTAAAATCCTCACATGCAAGGGAAACATCATAAGATTATCTGCATCCTGCCGAGGTGGCTCACACCTGTAATCCCAGCACTTTGGGAGGCCAAGATGGGTGGATCACAAGGTCAGGAGTTTGAGACCAGTCTGGGCAACATAGTGAAACCCCCATCTCTTCTAAAATATAAAATAAATAAATAAATAAATAAATAAATAAATAAATAAATATTAGCCAGGCGTGTTGGTGTGTGCCTGTAATCCCAGCTACACAGGAGGCTGAGGCAGGATAGTCGAGTGAACCCAGGAGGTGGAGGTTGCAGTGCGCCAAGATCTCACCATTGTACTCCAGGCCGGGCAACAGTGAGAGACTCTGTCTCAAAAAAAAAAAAAAAAAAAAATTAATTATCTGCTAAGTAGAAACAGAAGTAGATGCCAAAAGACAGTGAAATAGAATATTTTAAATGCGTAAAGAAAATAATGTTAGCCAAAAATCTACATTGAGCATACTATCCTTCAAAAAGATGCACAAGGTGAAATAAAGACGTCCCAGATAAACACTGATAGCAGCCTGTTTCACAAGAAATATTGCAGAAAATCATTTGAAATGTGAGAAAGTGACACCAGACGACAAGTCAAATCCACCCAAATAAAGATCACTGATAAAGGTAATTAATTATATACATAAATATAAAGCAGTGGAATTAGTGTTCTCTCTTTTTTGTTATAACTAATTTTTTAAAAATGTGTAAACAATAATTATAAAACATTTATTTATATTCCAAAGGATTAGAAGAATTCAAAATCATATTCATGCAGTTTTCAAGGATCTGAAAAATGGAGAGTGAAGAAAGTTCCCTCTGTCCTACATCAACACCCAGATTCATTTTATGGGGTTTCTTATAAATAATAGACCCCCTTAACATGTCAGATAAAGCTAGCTGTCACCATATGACAAGAATAAGGATTAATGCAAAGAGGAACTATCGAGTTATTATTTGCTCTATGATACACTGAAAATATGCTCTACTTCAAAAGTCTCATGTGCACATTCAAGAAAATATTAATAAAATATTTTAACATATGTTAGAAAAATAATAATATATAAATGCCCAATAAGCACGTGAAAAGATACTCAACAAATTTAATCAATAGAAAAATAGAAATCATAATCAGTCAGGTATTATTTTACATCCACTAGAATTGTTACAATCTAAAATTCCGAGAATACCAGGTGTTAGTGAAATCAGCCCAACCATCCTGTAGAACTGATGTTTTATATTTCTTTTGAATAAATGTGGAAATTGACCCTTTGGTCAATTAGTTGTCATTATTGTATCTAGAAACCCGTGTTGGAAATGTGTGATGATGTTCTGTTAGAATAGCTAAAAAGAAGTTATTCTGTGACTTTTTTTCACTTTGCCCTCGTTTTGTTGTATAGTCTTTAAATAAAAGGAGATCATTTATCCTCATATTGAATTTTCAAAACTGATGTTTTTATTTGTCATTTTTTAAATGATGGGGGAAAAGTTAATTTTATTACTTTGATAAGTCCGGCATAACATCTATCACATTTGTGATGTTAGGGTCACAGTTCTGTCACTAAAATGCTAGCAATTAGATATACACGGTAAGTAACTTACCTAATTTGGTTGTTTGAAGTACTGTGGACAGCGACCACTAGACACTAAATCACAGTGCTTTAATTTGTGACATGATAGAGAGAATGAAAAGACTTTATGCAGTATGAATATCCTGCTAACTAATCCTTGTGCTGTTAAGTTGGGCTTTGACTTCCGGGTCTCAAAAAGTCACTGAATCCTGCTAAATATTGAACACTGATACCAGTCAAAGCCTTGTCTTCAGCCACTGGAGAAGGTGACTGTGAAAATGGACTGTTTTCATGAGACACAGTGCCATATATTCAAACTATTTAATCCCTGTAGGCCCAGGGACTACTGTAAAAAATGTGGGCATGTGAGATTATGAGGGCTGACTTTGAGGGATAAAATTATTTTAAAGTTTTTTTTATAAACTAAACTTTATTATAAAAAGCACATCAGTACAAGAAGAGCATCTGGGCCTCTGTGTCAAAATAACATGGTTTGTGTGGAGCATTGATCTGCTCTTTAATAGAAAATTACAAAAGGTTATAAAATGTTTAAAGTAGTATTACCTTATGGCAAAACTGAAAAAATTAAATAGATCTGTTTATAAGGCTTTATTAAAACTAGACATCATTTATAATACAACTTACAAAGGTAAAATTTGTTTTTCTTTTTTGAACAAAATGTGTAATATTAATAAAAGATTATAAAATATTTGTGTTTACCTTTTGAGTAAATTGCAGGGAATAAAAGTCAGAGGAAGAGACAGATTTATTTGGCCTCATATGTCTACTAGGTCTTATTGTTTGGGAAACTGTCTCTTCTATGTCAAAGGGTAAACGTTTTGTTTTATCATTTGAGCTAAATAATTATTTTATAGTGACTTGTGATCCTATTTTGTGATATCAAGTATCCTAAAACTTTGATATTTGACAAGCTTTCCAAGAGTAAATATTCAAGTTCTAAAATCAGCCTTTCTGACCTCAAACTAACTTTTTTTGGATATTGAATTCCCTGAAGTCCAAGAAAGATATTTTAGTCTTATTTGTATGTTAGAATTATAAAGGAAGCATTGTCAAATCTGTGGTGGTGTTTAACTTCCTTTGGGTTATATTTATAGAGATATGTTATTAACGTGTGTTTCAGGATTGTATGAGTTTCCTAAAATTCTGATATTTTGTAAGGTACATTGTCAACAATAACTATGATTATAATGTAAAATTGTTATATGCTACAGAAATAACCAAGTTTTCTTGTCAATTATGTCTTTAACTACATCTATCCCAAGACATTTTTCATCCACAATTGTTGTGTTGCTTTGATCCTTCTCAAAAAGTAACATAATCTTGGATACAGGTGTCTGATAACTTTGGAGGTTGTACCACTGGATTAAAGATAAAACTTCCAGGGCACTTATTGAAAGTCTGATTTGTTCATAAAGATTACCAACCCAATATGAAGAAAGCAGGAGTTTATTGCATGAACTAAAATAATGGAGGAATAAAATATATTTTTATGGCTTTTTTGTTTAAAACATTACTGATTCTTCAGAATCTGGAGAATTGTTTTTCCTTTGGAGCTATTTATAGCCTTTAAAAATTGAGTAGGGTATATCCTTGTAAACAATTTGAGGCATATTTCTCTCTCACTGCCTAATTTATCCAGAATTCTTAAACTATTTGTGAATATTTTTAATTCATGGCAATGTGGTTGTTTACGTAAGTTCAACAAGAATTTTTCTTTTAAAAAGGGACAGATTTGGAAGAATTGGTTATTTTATTAGGACTTTGACTGAAATGGCCTTGTGAGAGATTTCAGCAAACCTAATTTTGGAGAGCCTATGTGAACAATGAGTCTTTCTATATTTTGTGTGGGTAAACAGGCCAAGTATATGGGACTGAAGCTTATTTTTAGGTAGGTTGGTCCTGCTGTGATTTGTCTTTGATCGAAGAAGGAGACTGGAAAGATAAAAAAAGTGTTTCGGAAGAAAACTATAGTATTTGATTAGCCTTTGACCCCTGGGTAGTCATGTGGTCACTGATGGTATGGAGCTGCCCATGACGCCCCTCCTCAGCATGAAGCAGCCAGGAAGATTGATGAACAGATCCTTCATGATTGAGAACTGATAAATGAAAACGGGGTAGAGGGCTGAAACTGACCAAATTTTCTCGTATAACTGATGTGTCAGGTTTCTTTTGAATAAACATAGAAATTGAACCTTCCAATCTTGAAACCTTAGAAAGGTACATGTGTCTTATCTTAGTTTCTTTCTCAGGAAACCAACCATCAGGCCTCCCATATTACCACATCTGGACAACGGGCAATCAAGACCCCTCACCCATCATGATTGCCTAAGTGACCACCTCCTTTCTGTTGAGCAACTTATCTTCCTTACCCCTTCCTAATTCCTGTTTTGCTGAATGCAGTTGCAGTTCTTCCCTGCTATATAAACTCGTAATTTTAGTCAGTCAGGGAGATGGATTTGAGATTGATCCCCATTTCCTTGGGTACAGCACCCAATTAAAGCTTTTTCCCTGGAAATACTCACTGTCTCAGTGATTGGCCTTTTTCTGTTCAGTGAGCAGCAGAACCTAGACTGAACTCCTGTAGTTTCAGTAATATTAGTGATGATTTGGAGAAAATGGAGCCATCATATTGATTGTTATGCTATTACATAATAGCTATGTAAAACGCTGTAGCCATTTGAAAACTGCTGATTTTTAAACAATTTAATATTATATTATTATATAAAATATTAATATTATACAACCTAGTAATCTCTACTCCTAAGATACTACACAAGTAAATTGAAAACATATTTCTGTACTATAATGTGTATGCCTCCAGAATCAGAACAGGAACAGAGACTTATATTATGCAAGAAACCCAGGGCCAGACAATGCTTTTGAATTCTATCTCTGTTCCATCACTATTTGGCTTTTAGTATTGCCAGATTTATAAATTTGATTAATGTAAGAGCACTGGAGTCCAGAAGATCTTTCTAAATAACCACATTTATTGAGCACCAATTATTTCATTAAAATATTATTTTTTCAATTTGTGTAAGTTAGTTATTGAACACCTTCATACAAAAAATTTATATTAATATTTTAAGAATTTGGTATTAACCACTTCAGAAACTTGGATTTCTGATTAGTGTATTTTAAATACTAATTATTTTATAAATTAACAATAGTATAAACATATATCATACCCTTTGTATAAAGTATTTTGTAGTAAATTATTATACATAAGCATGTAATTGTATGCACTATGAAAGTATCCCATATTTATAAATTAATATTTAATTATATTTAATTTTATAATTCAGGGACCAAAGTAAAACATCCTATGTGTCTTCTTCATTTTTCTACCAGGAGAAGTTGTCTTAAATCCCTTGTTCTTGACTTTGATGAAATTATGGCCTTGAACACTCTTTAAAATGGTTTATAGAATGGATCAGAAATATAAGACTGTGAGTCTGGAGTTCAGGGATAGAATGATAAGCACTTCAAATTCAGCACCACTATCAAGAATCCATAGTCTTTCTCTCTTCCTCCCAGCCATTTCTCACAAATACCCCGAACCCTCCCACCACACACACACAGAGTATCTCATTACATGGTCAAAGGTTTACTAAAATGAGGTTTCTACTCAATTTTTACAAGTTTAATTGTTAGATTGTAGCTTACAAATCATATTAACTCCCTGATCCACAAGGAAATGTTTTAAATGCAAAAATAATTACTACTACCGTAGGTTGTAAACATAAGCTTGAAATAAGATAGTATTTAAAAGTCTAAGATACACAGTTTACAGTTATAAGTGAGTAATTTATATATTTATATGTGAGTATATATATGTGTATATATTTGTGTGTGTGTGTGTGTATATATATATATACATGACTAGACTTAGGTTTGCCTAACAACAATTTAAAATACAAGGCCATCACTTGATAAAATTAAAATATTATATTTTTGAAAAAATGCTGTCCCAGCACTTCCAATAATTTTGTCCAGCCTATTTTTAACTGAAAGTTGGAAATCATAATATTAGCTGTTCAAATCAGGAATTGCATTAAATGCTTGTTTGTTTTGCTATGAAAATATTTAAAATCATGAAAAATGTTTGAAACAAGTTCAATTGTGTTTATTCACTATTCTTCTGAGTCTGTAGGGCTCACAAGTGATTTTCAACAGTAGTTGTGGGGATATTTCAAGATCAGGTTTGTTCTTTCATGATTATGCCTTTGTACATAGCCCACTTCCTAAAGGAGAAGTTGATATTAGTAGGCCAGCTGACATGGAAATGCCATTAAAGTAACACAGTAAAAGATGATTTGTAGCTTACAAATCATATTACCTCCCTGATCCACAAGGAAATGTTTTAAATGCAAAAATAATTACTACTACAGTAGGTTGTAAACGTAAGCTTGAAATAAGATAGTATTTAAAAGTCTAAGATATACAGTTATAAGTGAGTAATTTATATATATTTATATGTGCGCGTATATATATATACACGCACATATAAATATATATATACACATACATATGTTTTGAGGGGAGATTGAAAGAAAACTCTGAGCTTAATTAAAATCTTCTCAGAAATAAACTATGAAGAAGGGAAAAGGTTTGAATAGGTATATGATATTGATTTGCAAATCATTATACAAAATTTATAACAGATTTTTAATGATATAACAATTAATATTTATATGAAAATATAAATTTCAGCTGAAAATAGATCTGTTAACTACCAATTTAAAAAAAACAACAGGTAATGAGAGGGAAGGTTCAAAATGGCCTGTTAGAAACTTTGGAAACCAGTTCTCCTCAAAAAAATGAACCAAAATTACAAAATAGATAATCGTAACTTGAAATAGATGATCAAGAACAGAATACTAAAACTCAGTAGAAAACTCATGGGCAAAAACAAAGGCACAGAAAAAGAAGTAAGTAAGAGGCAAAATCAGCTGACAAATTGGCTAGGAAACCAGAGGGACTTGTCATTGTGTGGAAAAGTTAAGTGGGAGTGTTTTGGCTCCCAACATCCCTGCCGCAGACTGCCAGTGTCCAAACTGTGAGAGATCCTCCTCTGCCATTTTGAATCCTGACTCTAGTGTGGGTTGTGATTTGGAAACTTCTTGAGGGCATTACAACAGATTGCAAACTCATAGTGGGTTGCTCACCCTCTCCCCAGATGCATGCAGCTGCAGCAGGGTACTATTGGAGGGTGCAGCCATCAGGGGACTACATTCCTCTTGGGAACATCAATCCTTTTGTTTCCACATATCAGGATCACCCACTGATATTTCCTACTCCCCACTCAGAGGATTGTGTTGGCACAGTGCTAGCTAGTTCCAAAGAAGCTGCAGCATTCCTAGTAACATAGCCCTCAGGGAGTGCTACCGCTATTGAAGGGAAACTACAGTAAACCAGCGGATAGACCCTGAAACAAAGGAAACCAAGGCACATGCTTTCAAGTACCAAAGAACTCCCTATTTCGTGCTGTGAGAGGTGACTCTGCATCCAACAGGACAAAAACTCTTTGCTTGGATATAAAGGAGAGGCATGACATCCCATCCCACCAACCTCTGTGCTAGAGCCCAGGCATGTAGAAAAGAACTTTTACACTTCCTCCACACACTGCTGCAAATACAGCCACTACTGCTGGTCACAAGAAATTGATACAAGTGATTCAGAGATCAACCTATCTGGAGCTGTGAATTATGACTGTAACCCCACTCTAGGGGTGTTGCCTCTGGGCCTGTACTTATGCAAAGGGTGGGGCTCTCCCCATTTCTGCACAGAGCTGCAATGTTTTTGCCAAAGAGATCTAGAGAGCAATGTTGTTTGGGGAAATGGGGACAGACTCCATGCTGAAGCCACTACCAGGTGACACAGAGGTTTGGTGCTGAGCTGCAGAGCTGGTGTTCCCTGTGACTCTGAGCTACATTGCATCCTAGAAGTAAACACTAATATCTAACTGAACTGAATGTCCTGAATGCTGACCCATTGCATGGGATACCGGAGGGCTTACCCTGGTAAATAAAGATCAAATATTAACCCTGGTGCTAAGACAACAATCAGCTCTTACATGCAAGTGCCACCTACTGACCTGGAGGTCAGCCTATACAATCTAATACAAAATTTGTTGACAAAAATGCACAGTGCTTGGGGACAAGATAAGCTTCTCATGACTTTTATCCCCTCAGCTTCTCAGAAGGCCATGAGTCTACTCACTTGCTCACTCCGCTACTACTACAATCAGCACTTGAGAAAAGCACCACACTAAGCCTATCTATAACCAAGGGAATTATACACACACTATGCCAGTGAACAAACTCAGAAGCAAATCCAAGTGGCCCTTCTCAACATATGTTATAGTCACATTCTCTAGACGCAAGGAAAAAAAGTCTCATTGAAATGAAATTAAATTCCAGATACAAAGAAACTACTATAGCAACACTGGAAGTAAGCAAAATCAGATTGATATGACAGCCCTCAAAAATGCCACTAACTTTTTAGCAATGGATTCTACAAATATGAAATTTGTAAAATGCCAAATAAAGAATTAAAAATATTATCAATAATTTTAAAGAAGCTCAATGAAATCCAAGAGAGATCTGGAAACCAATTCATAGACTTTAGAAAATCAAATCAGTGTATGAATAATAAATTTACCAAGGAAAGAGATATCTTATAGTAAAACCAACAGAACTTCTGGAAATAAAATATTCATTGAAGGAATTACAGAATACAGTTGAAAACTTCAAAAATAGATCAAGCAGAAGAGAGAATCTCAGAACTTGAAGGCAGGTCTTTTAAATTAATTCAGTCAAACAAACATAAAGTAAAAAGAATTTAAAAGAATAAGGAAAGCTTTTGAGTAGCGTGGGACTAAATAAAGCATCTAAACTTTTAAGTGATTGCTATTCCTGAGGGTCAAGAAAGAGCAAAAAGTTTAGAAACTTATTTAAGTAAATAGTTTATGATAAATTTTTCTATTCTTTCAAGAAATTTAGATATTCAGATAGAAGAGGCTCAACAAAACAGCAGCAAAATACATTTCAAGAAGGATTTCACCATGACATATATTCACCAGGCTGTCTAAAGTCAATGTGAAGAAAAAATATCTTAATATTAGCAAGAGAAAAGTGTCTAGTCACACATAAAGAAATCCCCATAAGATTTACGTTTCTTAACAGAAACTTTAAAGCCCAACAAAAATGGGGTCCTATTTTATGAGTTCTTATGGAAATAAACTGTCAATCATGAATTTCATGTCCTACAACAGTAAGCTTTATAAGTGAAGGAGAAATAAAATCTTTTCCAGATAAGTAAATACTGATAGAATTTTTCAATACTAGACTGGAAGTGCAAGAAATACTCAAAGGATTTTAGCATTTCTTATAGTTCTATAAATAAACAGCAATGTCTAACTGAACTAAATGTCCTGAATACTGACCCATTGCCTGGGACACCAGAGAGCTTTTCCTGGTAAACAAAGATCAAGTATAAACCCTAGTGCTACCACCACAATTAGCTCTTACATACAAGTGCCACCTACTGACCTGGAGGTCAACCTATTCAATCTAATACAAAATTTATTGACAAAAATACACAGTGCTTGGGAACACGGTAAGCATCTCATGACTTCTACCACCTCAGTTTCTTGGAATGCCATGTGCCTGCTCACCTACTCAGTCAACTGTTACTACAATCAGCATTTGAGAAAAGCCCCACACTATGTCTGTCTAACCCAGGGATACATACAGACACTTTGCCAGTGAACAAACCCAGAAGAAAAGCCAAATGGCCCTTCTCAACATACATTATAGTCACATCCTCAAGAGGAAAAGAAAAAAAAGTAAGTCTCATCAAAAGGAAATTAAACTCCAGATACAAAGAGATTAGCATAACAATGCTGGAAGTATGCAATATATAAATTAAAGTTTAATATTCATCATCATAAAAACACAAGTAAGTATAAAACTCATCAGTCTTATAAAACAATTACACTAAGGAGGAAGAGAAATAAATCAAATGGAAACATGACAGAACTTCATCAAACCCAAAAGACAGACGGAAAAGAAAGCATCAAAGAACCCACAAAACAACTAGATGACATACAACATTCAAATAGGAATGAAAACTTATATATCAATGTTAACCTTGTACATAAATGGATTAAATTTTCTGACTAAAGGATATAGATTAGTGGAATGGATTAAAAAAATCACGAACCAACTCTATGCTGCTTAAAAAACTCACCCTACTGGTTAAGGTATAGACTGAAAGAAAGTGAGAGGAAAAGACAATCCATGCAAACAGAAATCAAATGCAAGCGGGAGTAACTATAATGATATCAAACAGACTTCAAATCAAAAATATTAAAAAAATATGAGGAATGATATTATGTAATAATGAAAGAATAAATTCAACAAGAGAATATAACAATCCTGAATGTATGTGCACCAAACATTGGAGCACAAAGATTATTAAAACAAATATTACTAAATGTAAAGACTGGGAAGATCAAAATTCCACCAACACCAATATACAGATTATTGAAATATAAAGTCGACAACAAGAATAACAACAACAACCACCACACAAACCTTGATCTTCAATTGGACTTAAGGTCAAAGGTAGTTAACATAATTACAGAAGATATTACCCCATAATCTCAGAATACGCATTCTTCTCATCCACACATAGAACATTCTCCAAGATAGACAATATATTAGGCCACAAAACAAGTCTCAATACATTTTTTAATCTCAAATAATATCAAGCATCTTTACAGACCACAGTAGAATAAAGTTATCAATCAATATCAAGAGGAACTCTTGAAACTACACAAATACCTGAAAATAATACCATATATTCCTGATAAATCTTTGGGTCAATGAAAACACTAAGATGGAAGTAACACATTTTTTGAAAAAAAATAACAAGAAGAATATTGAGATACAGCATATCAAAACCTCTGGGATACAGTAAAAGCAGTGCTAAGAGGGAAGCTTATATTGTTAAATGCTTACATCAAAAAAATAGAAAGATCACAAAATTTCTCTTCAAATTTTGCACCTCACAGAAATAGAAAAACAAGAAAAAAAACAGACACAAAGCTGAGAAGAAAATAATTAACAAATTAACAAAGAGCAAAACTAAATGAAAGTGTAAACAAATACAAAGATATAATGAAACAAAAAGTTAGTGTTTTGGGAAGACAAACAAAATTGATAAATCACTAGCTATACTTACCAAGAAAAGGAAAGAGAAAATTCAAATAAACATTATCAGAAATGAAAAAGGCGATATTACAACAACTGATACCACAGAAATACAAAAGATCTTCAGATATCGCTATGAACAACTACAACAACAAGCTACAAAACCTGTAGGATATGAATAAATTCCTGGAAACATACAACCTCCCAAGATTAAATCAGGAAGAAATATAAATCTTGAACAGACCAATAATGAGTATAGTGAGATTGAAATAAGATTGAAACAGTAATACAAAATCTGGCAGGGGAAAAAACAAAAACAAAAACCCAGAACCGGATAAATTTACAGCTGAATTCTACCAAACCCACAAAGAAGAACTGGCATCAGTTCTTATTTTCTAGACTGTTTTGGCTATTCTAGATCTTTTGTGGTTTCACACAAATTTTAGGATTGTATTTTTTATTTTTGAAATAATGTCATTGGAGTATCAATAGAGATTGTAATAAATCTATAGATGACTTTAAGTGGTATGGACATTTTAGCAATATTAATTCTTCCCCTCCAGGAGAACTGATATTTACCCATTTATTTATATATTTTTTTCAATTTCCTTTACTAATAATTGATGGAGTTTAGAGTACAGGTTTTTTTTTTACCTCTTTGTTAAATTTATTCTTTTTTATTTTATATTTTTTAGCAATTGTAAATGGGATTTTTTTCTTGATTTTTTTTTCAGATAATTTGCTGTTAGTATATATAAGTGCTACTGATTTTTATATGTTGATTTTGAATCCTGCAACTATTCTAAATTTGCTTACTGTTTTTAACAGTTTTATTGTTTAGTCATAAGGGCTTTCTACATATAAGATCCTGTCATCTACAATTAGGGACAATTGAACTGCTTTCCCAATTGCATACATTTTACTTGCTTTTTCTGTCCTAATTGTTCTAAATAGGACTTGCAGTACCCAGTTGACTAGAAGTATGGGAAGTCCACTTTTATGTTTTGTGCCTGATCTTAGAGGAAAAGCTTTCAACTTTTCCCCATTGAGTGTAATAATATTATCTATGAGTTTAGCATATATAGCCTTTTTATGTTGAGGTATTTTCCTTTTATACCTAATTTGTTTGGAATTGTTATCATGAAGATATGTTGAATTTTATCAAATGCTTTTATTGTATCTATTCTGATAATTATGTGGTTTTGTTACTCATTCCCTTAATGTAGTGTATTACATTTAGTGATTTGTATATAGAGAGAGCCATCACACCCTAGGCATTTCTTTGATGGGTGACTTTTTATTACGAATTCAATCTTTTTACTCGCAATTATTGATATGTTCAGATTTTCTCTTTCTTCAAAATTAAATCTTGGTAAGTTGTATTTCTATAAGAACTTATGCATTTCTTCAAGGTTGTCCAATTTGTGGCATATAAGTACTCATAATAATCTCTTATGTTCCTTTTTATTACTGTGGTATTGGTTGTAATGTTTTTCCTTTCATTTCTGATTTCTAAATTTGATTTTCCTTTTTTTTCCAGTCCAGATAAAGGTTTGTAGACTTTATTTATCTTAAAAATAAACTCAGTGACATTGATCTTTTCTGTTTTTTTTAAATTTCTGTGTCATTTATTTCTGCTCAGATCTTTATTATTTCCTTTCTTATACTAAATTTCTGATGAATGTAATATTAGGCTATTTAAGTGAAATCTTTTTTGAAGTACATTCTTACTACTGTAAACTTTCCTGTTAGAACCGCTTTTGCTGCATCCCTTAAGATTTGGCATGTTGTGTGTTTATGTTTGTGTGTCTGAAGATATTTTTAAATTTCCCTTTTAATTTCTTCTTACCTATTGGTTGTTCAGGAGCATGTTTTTAAAATTTCCATGTATTTGTGAATTTTCCAAAATTCATCCTCGTATTAATTAGTAGTTCCATTGTTGTTGGAAACAATACTTGATATGATTTCTATTTTAAAAAATCTGTTTAGACATGTTTTGCAGCCTAACAGGTGATCTAACCTGGAGAATATTCCATGTGCATTTGAGGAGAATATGTACTCTGCTGCTATCGGTGGGGATATTCTGTATATGTCTTTTAGGTTCTAATGGTATCAAGTGTAGTTTAAGTTTAATGTTTTCTCAATCATTTTCTGACTGGACAATCTGTCTATTGCTGAAAGTGGGTTATTGAATCCTCTACTATTATTGCATTATACTCTAGCTCTTCCTTCTTATCTGTTAATGTTTACTTTATATATTTATGTGTTCCAATGTTGGGTACATACATACTTAGAAGTGATATACTCTCTTGATGAATTCACTCTCATATCATCATATATTTTTTCTCTTTAAGTTTTAAACTTAAAGTATTTTTAATCTGATATAAATATAGCTGAGGGGGTGAAGATGGCTGATTAGAAGTAGCTGTGGTCTGTAGCACTCATGAAGAGGAACGAAAGGGGTGAGTTAATACAGCATCTGCAACTGAAGTATCTTGGTACTTACATTGGGACTGATCAGGAAAACAACTGAACCCACAGAGATTGAAGAAAAGTTGAATGGGGTGATGGCCCACCGGGGAGCCACCTGGAGCCAAGGGAACCCCAAACCCCAGCCAAGGGAAGCGGTGAGTGATTGTGTTGGCCTCCGGTAACCATGCTTCTCCTGCAGATCTTTGCACCTATGGATCAGGAGATCCCCTTGTTAGTCCATGCCACCAGGGCCTTAGGTCCAACACACAGAGTTGTGTAGAGTTTTGGCAGAGCTGCTGCTTAGGCACACATAGAAACCCAGGAGCTTTACATCCTTTGGCCTAGGGATCCCCAACAAACATGTCTGCAACTCAGGCAAGGTGAGAGGTCCACACATACCAGTAGGAAGGAGGCTGAATACAGGAAGCGAAGCAGCATGGTTCTGAGAGCCCCACTTGCACAGCACCTGACAATATAAGAGCTACTGGCTTGGAATTCCAACCATCCACCAGCAACAGGTTGGAGCCTGCCTGAGATTGGATGGAACCCCTGGGTTGGGGGTCAGACCACCATCTCCTCTGTTTGGTTTACTCAGACATTCCAGACTGTGGGCTTTGGAGACTCCAAGTGATTCGGATTAGGAAGGGTTCCTCCAGAGCAGCACATCTGCTTTGCCAGGTCATGGCCAGACTGCTTCTTTAAGTGGGACCCTGATCCATTCCTCCTCACTGGGTGAAAACTTCCGGGAGGGCCCTCCAGGAAGTATTCTACACGTATTCTACAGATAGAGCTCTGATCTCTCCCTGGGATGCAGTGCCCAGGAGAGGGAAGCACCACCGCCTTGGCTGATTGAATGACTTAGCCATTCCAATCTGTGGATTTTGGGGACTCCTAGCTGATGGGGCAAAGGTGGTTATTCAGAACAACATTGTTGTCTTATCAAGGTCTGGCCAGACTGTTTCTTTAAGTGAGACACAGATTCACTACTTCTCATGGGGCAGGTTCTCCCAGCAAGGGCTTCAAGTCACCCTTTTCAATATTCTATGGCCTACAGAGCTCTACATTCTCCCTGGGTTGGATTGCCTGGGGCGTGGGGCAGGCTGCCACTTGGCTGCTCTGGCTTCTCATCCAGTCAAGCCTGTGGGCCTTGGAGAGCCCAAACAGATTGGGGGCAGAAGAGATCCCCAACACAGTAGAGCTACTCTACCAAAAAAGCAGCCAAACTTCTTCTCTAAGTGAATCCCTAATACTGTTCCCCTGACTGGGTGAGACCTCCCAATCACGGTTTCAAGCCACCTCCTACAGGAGCACAGGGGCCAGCAACAAATCAGTACCACCCTGGGATGAAGCATCCAGAGGAAGGGGTGAGCTGCCATCTTTGCTGTTTCACAAGCTTCACTGCTGATATCTCCAGGTACAGGAAAAACTGGGCAACTAGGGTCTGGAGCAAGCCCCCAGCAAACAGCAGCAGCTTTACAGAGGTGAGGCCAGATTGTTAAAAGAAAAACAGATAAACAGGAAACAACAACAACATCAACAAAACAATCCAACAAAAACCCATTCAAAGGGCAGCAACTTCAAAGATTGAAGGGAGATAAGCCCTCAAAGATGAGAAAGAATCAATGGAAAAATGCTGAAAACTGAAAAAGCCAGAGTGCCCCTTTTTTCTCCAAATGATTGCAACAGCCCTCCAAGCAAGAGCTCAGAATTGAACTGAGGCTGAGATGGCTGAAATAACATAAGTAGGTTTTAGAATGTGGATAAAAACGAACTTTGCTGAGCTAAAGGAACATTTTGTAACTGAAGGCAAAGAAGCTAAGAATCATGATATAACAATAGAGAAGCTGAGAGCCAAAATTGTTAGTTTAGAGAGACAAAACCAACCAACCTGATAGAGCTGAGAAACACATTACAAGAATTTCACTATGCAATCACAAGTATTAATAGCATAATAGGCCAATAATAGGGGAAAGATTCTCAGAGCTTGAAGACTGTCTTTCTGAAATAAGACAGATATACAAGAATAGAGAAAAAAAAATTAAAATGAATGAACCAAATCTCTAAGAAATATGGAATTATGTAAAGAAACAGAGCCTATGACTAATTGGAGTACCTGAAAAGGATGGAGAGAGTGGAACCTATTTGGAAAACGTACTTCAGGATATAATCCAGGAGAACTTCTTTAACCTAACAATAAAGGCCAACATTCAAATTCAGGAAATGCAGAGGACCCCAGTAAGATACTCCACTTGAAGATCTCTCACAAGACAAATAGTCATCAGATTCTACAAGGTCAAAATGAAAGACAAAATGTTAAGGGAAGCCAGAGAGAAAGGCCAGGACACCTACAAAGGAAAGCCCATCAGACTAACAGCGAACATCTCAGCAAAAACTCAACAAGTCAGAAGAGATTGGGGGTCAGTATTCAACATTCTAAAGAAAAGAATTTTCAACCCAATTTTCATATCTTGGGAAACTAAGCTTCATATGTGAAGGAGAAATAAGATCCTTTTCAGACAAACAAATCCTGAGAGAATTAATTACCACCAGACCTGCCATGAAAGAGTTCCTGGAGGAAGCAGTAAATACCGGAAGGCAGGGGGGTGCAGCAGGGAAATATCATTATCAACCACTACAAAAAACACACTGAAGTACACGGACTGGTATCATTATAAAGCAGCTACATAAACAAGTCTGCAAAATAACCAGCTAGCATCATGATGACTAGATCAAATACACACTTAACAATACTAACCTTAAATGTAAATTGGCTAAATGTCCCAATTAAAAGACACAGAATGACAATTGGGATAAAGAACTAAGATCTATTGCTATACTGTCTTCAAGAGACCCGCCTCACATGCCAAGAAACACATGGGCTCAAAATAAATGGATGGAGGAAAATTTACCAAGCAAATGGAAAACAGAGAAAAGCAGGGGTTGCAATCCTGGTTTCTGAAAAAACAGACTTCAAACCAGCAAAGATCACAAAAAGATAAAGAAGGGTATTACATAATGGTAAAGTATTCAATTCAACAATAACATCTAACGATCCTAAATATATATGCACCCAATACAGTAGCACCCAGATTCATAAATCAACTTCTTAGAGACCTTCAAAGAAAATTAGTCTCCCACACAATAATAGTGGGAGACTTTTATACTCTGCTGACAATATTAGACAAATCATGGAGAAAGAAAATTAACAATGACATTCAGGACCTGAACTCAGCTCTAGATCAAGGGGACCTGATAGATATATACAGAACTCTCCACCCCACAGCAAAATAATATACATTATTTTCTTTCCCTCATGGCACTTACTCTAAAATTGATCACATCATTGGAAAGTAAAACACTACTCAGCAAATGCAAAATACCTGAAATAATAACAGTTTCTTGGATCACAGCACAATCAGATTAGAACTCAAGATTAAGAAATTCACTTAAAATCATACAACTGCATGGAAATTGAACAACTTACTACTGAATGACATTTGCGTAAATAATGAAATTAAGGCAGAAATCAAGAAGTTATTTGAAACTAATGAGAACAAAGATACAATATACCAGAATCTCTGGGACATGGCTAAAGCAGTATTAAGAGGGAAATTTATAACACTAAATGTCCACATCAAAAAGCTAGAAAGATCTCAAATAGACAACCTAAGATCACAACTAAAAGAACTAGAGAACCAAGAGCAAACAAACCCCAAAGCTAACAGAAGACAAGAAATAACCAAGATTAGACCTAAACCGAAGTAGACAGAAACACAAAAAACCATCAAAACAGCAATAAATCCAGAAGGTGGTTTTTCAAAAAATTAAAAAAAAAATAGACCAGTAGCTAGAAGAATAAAGAAGAAAAGAGGGAAGATTCAAATAAACACAATAGAAATGATAAGGGGATATTACCACTCACCCTACAGAAATACAAACAACCATCAGAAAATACTATTAACACCTCTATGCACGCAAACTAGAAAATATAAAAGAAATGGATAAATTCCTGGACACATACACCCTCCCAAGACTGAATCAGGAAGAAATGGAATCCCTGAATAAACTAATACTGAGTTCAGATAATGAGGCTGTAAAATAGCCTACCAACCAAAAAAAGCTCAGGACCAGACAGAGTCACAGCTGAATTCTACCAGAGGTACAAATAAGAGCTCATGCCATTTCTACTGAAACTATTTCAAAAAATTGAAAAGGAGGGACTTCTCCTTAACTCATTTTATGAGTCCAGCATCATCCTGATGAAGAAAAAACCTGCCAGAGATACAACAACAGAAAAAAGAAAACTTCAGGCCAATACCTTTGATTAACATCGATGCAAAAATCCTCAACAAAATACTAACAAATTGAATCCAGCAGCACATCAAAAAGCTTATCCACCAGGATCAAGTAGGCTTCGTCTCCAGGATGCAAGTTTGGTTCAACATATGCAAATCAATAAATGTGATTAATCACATAAACAGAGCTAAAGAGAAAAACCACATGATTATTTCAATGGATGCAGAGAATGTTTTTATAAAATTCAACATCCCTTCATGTTAAAAACTTTCAATAAACTAGATATTGAAGGAATATACTTCAAACTAATAGCCGTATATAAAAACCCCATAGCTAATATCATACAGAATGGGCAAAAGCTGGAAGTATTCTCCTTGGAAACCTGCACAAGAAAAGGATGCCCTCTCTCACCACTCTTACTCAACATGATATTGGAAGTTCTGGCAAGAGCAATCAGACAGGAGAAGAAAATAAATGGTATTCAAATAGAAAGAGAGGAAATCAACTATCTTTTTTTGCTGATGACATATTATAGCTAGAAAATCCCATCATTTCTGGCCCAAAATTCTTAAGCTCATAAGCAATTTCAGCATTCTCAGGATACAAAATCAATGTGCAAAAATTGCTAGCATTGGCTAGGCATGGTGGCTCACATCTGTAATCCCAGCATTTTGGGAGGCTGAGGTGGGAGGATTACCTGAGGTCAGGAGTTCGAGACCAGCCCGGCCAACAAGGTGAAACCCTGTCTCTCCTAAAAAAAATACAAAAATTAGCTGGGTGTGGTGGCACACACTTGTAATCCCAGCTATTCAGGAGACTGAGGCAGGAGAATTGCTTGAGCCCAGGAGGCAGAGGTTGCAGTGAGCCAAGATTGTGCCACTGCACTCCAGCCTGGCAGACAGAGTGAGACTCTGTCTCAAAAAAAAAAAAAAAAAAAAAAAATTGCTAGCATTTCTATACACCAACAACAGGCAAGCAGAGAGCGAAAGCATGAATGAACTCTCATTCACAATTGCCAAACACACACACATACATGCACACACACACATGCACACACACACAAATACCAAGTAATACAGCTAAGAAGGGAAGTGGAGGACCTCTACAAGGAGAATAACAAACAACTGCTAAAATAAATTAGAAATGACACAAACAAATGGGAAAACATTCCATGCTCATGAATAAGAAGAATCAATATTGTGAAAAGATCATACTGCCCAAAGCAATTTAGAGATTCAACGCTATTCCCATTAAACTACCATTGACATTCTTCACAGAATTAGAAGAACCTATTTTAAAATTTATAAGGAACCAAAAAAGAACCTGAATAGCCAAGACAATCCTAAGTAAAAAGAACAAAGCTAGCAGCATCACATCAGCCATTTCCTAACTACACTACAGGGCTACAGTAACCAAAACAATTAGTACTGGTACAAGAACAGACAATAGACCGATGGAACAAAATAGAAAACCCAGAAATAAGACCACACACCTACAATCATCTGATCTCCAAAAATCCTGAAAAAAAAAAACAGCAAACAATAGGGAAAGGATTCCCTGCTAAATAAATGGTACTGGGAGAACTGACTAGCCATATGCAAAAAAATTGAAACTGGACCCCTTCTTTACACCGTATACAAATATCAACTCAAGATGGATTAAAGACTTAAATGTAAAATCAAAAAGTATAAAAAACCTAGAGAAAATCTAGGCAATACCATTCAGGACATAGTCACAGGGAAAGATGAGAAATTATGAGAAAAATGCCAAAAGCAATGGAAAACCAAAGCAAAATTGACAAATGGAATCTAATTAAATTAAAGAACTTCTGCACAGCAAAAGTAACTATCAATAGAGTTAACAGACAACCTACAGAATGAGAGAGAATTTTAGCAATCTATCCATCTAAAAAAGGTCTAATATCCAGCATGTATAAGGAACTTAAACAAATTTACAAGAAAAAAACAGTCCCATTAAAAAGTGGGAACAGAACATGAACAGACACTTTTCAAAAGAAGACATATATGTGACCAGCAAAGATATGGAAAAAAGCTCAGCATCACTGAATATTAGATAAATGCAAATCAAAACCAAAATCAGATACCATCTCACACCACTTACAATGGCTATGATAAAAAGTCAAAAAACAACAGACATTAGCAAGGTTGTGGGGGAACAAGCCAACAAACAACTTTTACACTGTTGGTGGAAGTAGAAATTAGTTCAACCATTATGGAAGACAGTGTGGCAGTTCCTCAAAGACACAGAGGCAGAAGTATCATTTTACCAGCAATCCCAATACTGAGTATATACCCAAAGGAATATAAATTATTCTGTTTTAAAGATACATGCACATATATGTTCATTGCAGCACTATTTACAATAGGAAAGACAGAATCAACCTAAATCCCCATCAGTGATAGACTGGATGAAGAAAATTTTGTACATAAACAGGATGCAATACTATACAGCAATGAAAAGGACCAAGGTTATGTTTCTTGCAGAGACATGGATGCAGCTGGAAGCCATTATCCTCAACACACTAACACAGAAACAGAAAAACAAATGCCACGAGTTATCGCTTATAAGTGGGAGATGAATGATGAGAACAGATGGACACATAAGGAGTGTTTTCATACTGATACAAACATACTATTGGAGATTGGGTAATTTATAAAGAAAGAAGGTTTGACTCACAGTTCTGCATGGCTGAGAGGTTTCAGGAAACCTCTCAGTTTCCTTCCAATCATGGTGGAAGGTGAAGGAGAAGCATGGCACTTCTGACCATGTTGCCAGGAAGGAGAAAGAGTGCATGGGAAATGCCAGACCCTTATCAAACAACTAGGTCTTGTGAGAACTCTCTGGCTATGATGAGGAGAGCATGGGGGAAAATGCCTCTATGACACAATTACCTCCCACTACATGTCTTCGTTAACATGTGGGGTTACAATTCAAGATGCGATGAGATTCAGCTAGGGACACACAGCCAAACCATATCATTCTGCCTCTTGCCTCTCCCATATATCGGTGTGTGTTTGTTTTTAACATTTGAAAACCTATTATGCCTTCCCAACAGTTCCTCAGATTCTTAACTCATTCCAGCATTAACTGATATTTAATAAAAGTCCAAGTTTAAAGTATCATCAGAGACAAGGCGAGTCATTTTCCACTATGATCCTGTAAAATCAAAAACAAGTTAGTTACTTGCAAGATACAATGGAGCTATAGGCATTGGGTAAATGTTCCTGCTCCAAATGGGAGAAATTGGCCAAAAAGAGGAACAACAGGCCCTATTCAAGTCTGAAACCTGACTGGGTAGTCATTATAACTTAAAGCTCCAAAATCTCCTTTGACCTCATTTCTCACATTCAGGGCATGTTGATTCAAGGGACGAGCTCCCACAGCCTTGGGAAGCTCCACCCCTGTGGCTCTGCAGAGTAAATCCCCATTGGCTGTTTTCAGGGGCTGGTGTTGAGTTCCTATGACTTTTTCAGGTGCTCAGGGCATGCTGTAGATGAATCTACCATTCTGAGATCTGGAGGACAGTGGCCGTCTTCTCACAGCTCCACTACTCAGTGCCCCAATGAGGACTCTGTGTGGGGGATCCAACCCTATATTTTCCTTCTGCACTTCCCTAACAGAGGTTCTCTGTGAGGGCTCTGACCCTGCAACAAATTTCTACCTGGACATCCAGTCATTTCCATACATCCTGTGACATCAAGGCAGAGGCTATGGAATCTCAACTCTTGTCTTCTGAGCACCTGAAGGCCCAATATCACATGGAAGCCACCAAGGGTTGAGGCTTGCACCCTCTGAAGCAATGGCCTAAGCTGTACCATGGGCCTTTTTAGCCAAGGCTAGAGTTTGATTAGCCGGGATGCAGGGCAACAAGTCCTGCACAGAGAATTGGGGCCCTGGGTCCAGTCCACAAAGCCATTTTTCCTTCGTAGGCCTCCGGGCCTGTGATGGGAGGGGCTGCCATGAAGGTCTCTGACATGCCCTGGAGACATTTCCCCCACCATCTTGGCTAATAGCATTCAGCTCCTCATTTCTTATGTGAATCTCTGCAGCTAGCTTGAATTTCTCCCCAGAATATGGGTTTTTCTTTTCTACCACATGGTCAGCCTGCAAATTTTCCAATCCTTTATGCTCTGCTTCTTTTTAAATATAAGTTCCAATTTTAAACCATCTCTTTGTGAATGCATGCAACTGAACACTTTTAGAATAAGCCAGGTCACATCTTGCAAGCTTCGCTGCTTAGAAATGTCTTTCATCAGATAACTCAAATTATCTCTCTCAAGTTTAAAGTTTCACAGATCTCTAGAGGGGGGTAAAATGCTAAAGCGTAGAATGAGTGACCTTTTCTTTAGTTCCCAATAAGTTCCTCATCTTCTTCTGAGACCACCTCAGCCCGGACTTCATTGTCCCTATTACTAACAGCATTTTGGTTACAATCATTCAAGAAATTTCTAGGATGCTCCGAAATTTCAAACATTTTCCTGTCTTCTTCTAAGCCCTCCAAACTGTTCCAACCTCTTTTCATTACCAAGTTCCAAAGTCACTTCCACATATCCATGTTATCTTTATAGGTGTACCCCACACTTGGTACCAGTTCTCTGTATTAGTCTACTTTCATTCTACCTTAAAGATACTACCCGAGACTGGGTAATTTATAAAAAAGAAAGTCTTATTGACTCACAGTTTCAAATGGCTGGGAGGCCTCAGGAAACTTACAATCATGACAGAAGGCAAAGGGGAAGCAAGGCACATCTTACATGGTGGCGAGAGAAAGTATTTGAAGGGGAAATGTGAAACAGTAATCCAACAACTAGGTCTCATGAGAACATCCTCACTATCATGAGAACAGCATGGGGAAAACTGCCCCTAGGATCTAATCACCTCCCACCGGGTCCTACCCTTGACAGGTGTGGATTACAATTTGAGATGAGATTTGGGTGGGGACACAGAGCCAAACATTATGGGGGGAAACAACACACAATGTGGGGCCTGTCAGAGATGGGGAGTTGGAGGAGGGAGAGCATCAGGAAGAATAGCTAATGGATACTGGGCTTAATGCCTAGGTGATGGAATGATCTGTGCAGCAAACCACGGTGGCACAGCTTTACCTATGTAACAAACCTGCACATCCTACACATGTGTGCCTGAACTTAAAAGTTGAAAATACAAAAAAAAAAAAAATAGCTACTCTTGCTGTCTTTTGGTTTCATTTGCATAAAATATCTGTTTTTCATTCTTTCACTTTCATTCTTCATGTGTCCTAAATGTAAAGTGAGTCTCTTAGGAACAGCATATATTTGAGCCCTCTTTTTTTATTTTAATTATCTTTTTTTATTTTAAAAAGGCTTTTTTAATAAAAAGTGTTGAAATTAAGTCCCTATTACAACGAAAAATAAACTTTGTATTATATTTCTATTTAGGTTTGAATTATATTCATGAAGTACTAAGAAAAATTGTGCTCACAAAATCAACTAAGTAAATAAATAAATATACAACTTAGATAAATACACATACCAAAAATATATAATGTTTGAAACAATGGGAATGCACAATGATTCCTCTGTGCTACAATTTTACCAAAATGATTTTGAGGTGGGAAGATTAAGCTGGCTTATCCAGGAGGTTTCTCACTGCAATCACATGTATCCTCATAAACGCAAAGCACAGGCAGAATTGGACATACATGGAGGAGAAGTTAATGTGAAGACAGAACATAGAGAGATTTGAAGATCCTGGCCTGGAAGATTAGCATGAAGCCAAAGAATGCCTGTGGACACCAGAAACTGGAAAAAGCATGCAATGAATTTCTCTCATAAACCATCAGAAAGATGGCAGCCCCGCTGTGACTTGCTCTTAGAAAAAATATATGTGATTGCAAAGATTTTACAATATAAGGTAACACTCATGGTTCCAGGTGGAAGTATGTAAGACATCTTTACTGGAGTCATTTTTTACCCTACCACACAGTTCATAATATGCAGGGTAGTGTCACCTTTCTTGCTGTTAGTGGTAATCCAAAATTTCACATATTAGTACAGATGTTTTGTCTTTCTGTCAGACAAAGAAACTATAAATATAATATAAATATATTATTTTTACATCACTGTCAATCATTCTGTATGCACTTTGAAAGTTTTGTAGACTGGCTTCTCTTTAAATGAGGGGATAGTGAAGAGTTATATAATGCAAATATAATATTAATGTCTCTTAATAGTTTTCTCTTTAATTTGCATGTGGTCACAAGGCAGATGGTATGAGCACAATACTCCCTATTATAGAAAGCATTCTACAAAATGATAAATTTATTTTAAAAATTATGAGAATGAATGCATCTTTATAAATATTATACTCTCTACTCTTTAATCTCCATGCCATACAAAACACAATAATGTTATGTTATATCTTACTCAAATCCATTCTTTTTTCAGTTGAATTTTTAATTCTCAGTGATTAATATTTATTCTCTTTGGCTGCTATATTTGATCTTTAAAATTGTATTTGAATACATTTCAGTTACTTTTGAAGTTAGTATTCAGAAGACCAAAAGCCAGTGAAAAAGTTTTTCTCATTGGTTGCACAATACCAAATCCAGTAACTCTTTAACTTTTCATTTCTGTAGGGTTCCATCTAGGATATAGATGGGAGGAAAAGGCTATTTCACTTTATTTGTCCAAGTTAAGGCTTGTCTGTCGTTGAGTAAACTCTGTGAACTATGTTCTAGGCTGAAACAACCCTAGAGTGCTGTTTCTTGATGCATGTTTAGCCATTGGAATGAGCAAAAATTCCCTGGAGTGTGCTAATGCAGAGTATTTATTTTTTATTTTCCTTATTTTTTTGTGGTTTATTTAGACCTAAATGTTTTGTGCTCACAAAAGACACAATTTTGTGACATTTTAAAAGTCTGTATCTTTTAGGAATGTAAGACGGGAGTTAATACAATTTCCTAAACACGTTTGACATGGTGATCAATTGATTAATAAATGTTTGAAGCAGGTTTAATATAGAAGTTCCCAAAAATAAAGAAACTCTTTTATGGCATAAGGCTGCACCTCTCACAATGGGTCATGATACTGACCTAGAGAAGACTGAAGAATATAAGTTATTCCATGAATACTGCTTATCTTTCTTTGAAAAAGAAAACTTGGAGTGATGTATCATCCTCACTTTCAAATATGGCAAAAAAAATTACTCCTAAGTATAGCATTATTGTGAAAGAAAGATTTATTTATTGAAGATCACAATAAGACTTGTGAATTCATATATAAGACCTAAAATTTCTAGAGTTCTATGATTAATAGTAATATATTTAAGTAAATAAGTGATAATTTGATAGAGAAAAGTCCATAAGCTTTAGAGTGATATATTTTTTCAATTTATAATAATTTGATACTCCTTCACACTATTTAATCCATCTGCAAGTTTTTCACATCTCAGTTCATGGTAACTCAAGCCATACAGATGCTCAGGCTGATAAACACAGAATTATTCTTGATGTCCTTTCACAACACATTAAAATGCTGCCTGCAATCTATGCACAATCTGACCATGTTTCACCACCTCGCCTGATCAAAGTCAAACAAACGCTTCTGTTTTTACCCAGAGTCTTGATTTTTCTATGTTTGCCTTTTTGTCAACTGTACATTAGTAGACTAATCCATTTAAATATCAGTTTGATAATTTCCATCCTCCGTTGAAATCTTATCGTGGATCCCCTTTCTCAATAAAAATGAAGTCCTTAAAATGACCAAAAATTATCTACTTATCTGGCTTCCTGAAAACACTGAGGTAATATATCCTACTGCTCTGCCAGTTGAACACAACCCTTAAGCCACATAACTTCTATAGAGTTTCTCCAACATTTCGGAGAAGTGTAACCCTTATTCTAGTTGTACTCTGCCAGGAATGCAATTCTCCAAAATAAATGCTAAACCGTCTATCCCAGAGCTTTCAAATCTGCTTTGTTATTTTTTAAATACATTCACCAGGGAGGCTTATGCTGAACTGCCTGTTTATAGCTAAACCTGATTCCTGCTTCTGTCTTCCAACTGGGAAGTAAATATTGAAATATGAATCAATATCTTATTATTTTTAAAGGCTGAATAATATGCCATGCAGTTACATATAATGTTTTTATCCATTCATCCGTTGATAGGCATTTGGTTTGTTTTCATCTTTTGGCTATTGTGAACATTGGTTTTGGAAGTTGTATACACATGTGTTTGCTTGAGTATGTGTATTCAATTTGGGGGGTTGCATATCTCAAAGTGGAATTGCTGGGTCGTATGTAATTATCTGTTTACTTTTTTTGAAAATAACTCCTTTTTGCTTTCTTAATGGCTAAACAATTTTACATTCCCAGCTATAATGTACAAAGTTTGTAATTTCTCTGCATTCTTGCCAACACTTGTTAAATTCTGGGCTTTTGTACGTTTATTTATGTTTTATTAATTACAATGATGCTAGCGGGTGTAGAGTGGTATCTAAATGCAGTTTTGATTTGCATTTCTTTAATGACTAATAACCATAAGCATTTTTTCAAATGTTTGGTGGTTACCTGTTGTGTTAGTCCATTTTCACACTACTATAAAGAAATACATGAGAGTGAGTAATTTATAAAGGAAAGAGGTTTAATTGATTCACAGTTCCATCTGGCTGGGGAGGCTTCAGGAAACTTAGAATCATGGCAGAAGGCAAAGGGGTGGCAAGAGAGAGAAGTACAAACAAGGGAAATGCCAGACACTTATAAAACCATCAGATCTCGTGAGAACTCACTCGCTATCATGAGAACAACATGCGGGAACCACTCCATGATCTGATTGTCTCCCACCAGAACCCCCCCTAGACACATGGGGATTATGGGGATTACAATTCAAAATGAGATTTTGGTGAGGACACACCCAAACCATATCACTTGTGTATCTTATTAGGAGAAATGGATATATTGTGGATATTAGACCTTTAAACATTTGAAATATTTTCACCTATTCTGTAGGTTATCTTTTCATTTTCTTGATAATGCCCTTCAATGCCCACAACTTTTTTATTTTTATTAGTTCTATTTCTCTCTCTCTTTCTTGCTCTCTCTCACTCTCTCTCTCTCTTATCTTGTACTTTTTGTCTCATATCTAAATATCTACTGCACCATCCAAGGTCCTGATTATTTAACCCTTGGTTTTGCTAAGGTTTTTTGTTTGTTTGTTTGTTTGTTTGTTTTTACAGTTTTAGGTCTAACATTTATATTAACCTATTTTGAGTTTTTTTTTCCGTGTGTGTGTGTGTGTGTGTGTGTTTATGATATCAGGTAGTGGTCCAAAGTTATTCATTTTTTTACGTGCAGATTTCTTTTTAGTTCCAGCACAATTTGCTAATGAGAATATTTCTTCTCCGTTGAATGGTCTTGGCATCCTGTGGAAAACTGACCGTAGATGCACTATTTTATTTCCAGGCTATTGCTTCTATTCGTTCATCTATCTATACTTATGCGAGTACCACACTGGTTTGATCACTGTAGGTTTGTAGCAAGTTTTGAAATAAGGAAGTATAAGTATTCCGAATTTGTCATTCATTTTCTAGGTTATTTTAGTTGTTTGGGGCCCTTGAATTCCATATGAATTTGAGGATTGTTTTTTCCATTTCTACCCAAAATAAGCTATTGGAATTTTGGTAGGAATTTATTGGTCTGTAGATTTTTATGGGTAGTATGACCTTTTTAACAATGCTAAGACTTTCACTTCATAAGCTGTCTCTTCATTTATTTAGATATTTAATTTCTTTCAGGCATGTTTTGTAGGTTTTAGTGTGCAATTCTTTTACCTTCCTACATATATTTATCCATAGGTATTTTGTTCTTTTTATGCTACTGTTAATGGAATTGCTTTCTTAATTTCTTTTTTGGATTTTTCATTGCAGGTATATAGAAACACTGCTGATTTTTGTGTATTGATCTTATACCATGCCACATTGCTGATGCTGAATTTGTTTATCATCTCTAGTGGCTCTCTTGTATGTTAATTCGAATTTTCTATATAGAGAAATGTGCCATCTGTGAACAGAATAGTTTTTTATCTTCCTCTTCAGTTTGTAGGACTTTGATTTATTTTTCTTTTGAAAATGCTGTGGCTAGAAATTACAGTACAATGTTAAATAGCAGAGTTGTAAGGCAACATCCCTGTGTTGTTTCAAATAACTTTTTCTTTGTTTTAAGAAACACGGTTTGCTCACTCTGTCACTCAGGCTGGAGTGCAGTGGCACAATTATAGTTTACTGTAGCCTCAAACTCCTGGGCTCAAGCAATACTCCCGTTTAAGCCTCCTGAGTAACTGAGACTACAAGCATGCAACACCATGCCTGAATAATATTTTAAAATACTTTTTGTAGACACATGGTCTCACCATGTTGCCCAGGATGGTTTTAAACTCCTGGACTCAAGTGATGCCCCCACCTTGGCCCTAGCACTGGGATTACAAGCATGAGCCATTGTGCTAGGCCTTCAAATAACTTATTATTTGATATTTTATTAATATTTCTTCAATTAATTTATATTTATTTTAATTTATTAAGGATTATATGTGTGACAAAATATACTACAATTTTATGTTATGTACTTATTTTTAATCTGAATTATGTTTTAGTTGAAGTGGACCATACTTGAAGTGCTATTCTAGAATCCTCTAATATCATGCTATTTGTATTGTTGGTTTTTCACTCAGGCAACACATTCTCAGTCAAAAATGAAAACATTGTAAGAATCGCCCTATTATTTCTTAAATATTGAATTTGAGTTAAAGATCTTTCTACAAAGAAACAGAGACAGACAGAGCCAATTGTAGAATCCACTAACACTGAAAAAAAAACTGATGAAATTCTATGCCACCTCCTCCAGAAAATAGAATAGATTGAAATGCCTCTCAAATTACTGTGTATATCAGTATTACGATAGTACCAAAAGCAGGCAAATGTATTACAAGACAAGCAAACTAATATATAATATTCCCCAGAAAATGAATGAACAGATTTTTAACAAAATTTAGGAAATCAATTACAACAGTATATAAAACATGAGGTTTATGCCAGAAATGCAAGTTGGTTTAGCATTTAAAGATAAGTCAATTTAATACAATATATTAATAGATTAGAAGTGAAAAAACATTAAATTTTCTCAATAGAAGCAGGAAAACCATGTGAAAATACCAACATACGTTCCGGGTAATAACCGTCACCGAATTAGAAACAGTTGGGAATTCCCCCATATTGATCAATGTCATTCTGAGAAACTTAATAGTGACATAATTTTTAATGGTGCAGCTATTAATGCATCTCCTTCCACCCATCTAAGGGTAGGGAAAAAAAAACAAGGCTGACTCTCTGACCACTTCTCCTTAATATTGTCTAGTTTGTTTGTTTGTTTTGCTGTTTTCAAATTTTATTTTAGGTTTAGGGAGTAAATGTACAGGTTTGTTACATGGGTAGATTTCATGTTGCTAGGATTTGATACGCAAATCATTGTGTCACCCAGGTAATGAGTATAGTATTCAATAAATAGTTGTTTTAACTCCCACCCTCCTCTCAACCTCCCCACTCAAGTAGGCCCTAGTTTCTATTGTTTCCGTCTTTATGTCCATGTGTACTCAACACTTAGCTCCCGTTTATAAGTGAGAGCATGTAGTATTTGATTTTCTGTCTCTGTGTTAATTCACTTAGGATAATAGCCTCCAGAGCCATCCATGTTGCTGCAAATTACATGATTTTATTTTATTTTTAATGGCTGAGTAGTATACCATGCTGTATATGTACTACACTTCCTTTATCCAGTCCGTCTTTGATGGGCATCTAGATTGACTCCATGACTGTGCTACTGTGAGGAGTGCTGCAATGAATATAATGAATGCATATGTCTTTTGGTTAGAATGATTTATATTCCTTTGGATGTATACCCAGTAATGGGATTTCTGAGTCAAATGGTATTTCCATTTTAAGTTCTTTGACAAATCTACAAATTTACATTCATATCAGCAGTGTATAAGCATTCCCTTTTATCCATAACCTCACTAACATATGATTTGTTTTGTTTCTTTACTTTTTAATAATAGCCATTATGACTGGTATGACACGGTATCTCATTGTGGTTTTTATGTACGCCTCTCTAATTATTAATGGTCTTGAGCATCTTTTTCATATGCTTGTTGGCCATGTGTATGTATTTTTTTGAGAAGTGTCTGTTCATATCCTTGCTCTTTTTTCAACAGGTTCATTTAATTTTTGCTTGCTAATTTGTTCATGTTTCTTATAGATTCTGGATATTAGACTTCTTTAAGATGTATCATTTGCAAATATTTTCTCCTTTTTTTCTGTGCTTGTTTTTCTCTTTCTTTCTCTTTTTCTTCCTCTCTCTCTCTCTCTCTTTTTCCCTTTCTTTTGAGGCAGAGTCTTGCTCTGTCACCCGGACTGGAGTGCAGCGCCACCACGCCCAGCTAATTTTTTTGTATTTTTAGTAGAGATGGGGTTTCACCATGTTGGTCAGGCTGATCTCGAACTCCTGACCTCAGGTGATCCACCCACCTCAGCCTCCCAAAATTCTAGAATTACAGGCATCATTTTCTTTGATATTTTCTTTTTCTGTGCAGAAGCTCTTTGGTTTAATCGGGTCCCACTTGTCTATTTTTGTTTTTGTTGCAACTGTTTTTGGGGACTTCATTGTAAAATCTTTGTCAATACTTATGTTCAGAATGGTATTTCCTAGGTTTTCCTCTAGTGTTTTAACAGATTTAGGTCTTACATTTAAGTCATTATTCCATTTTAATTTTTGTAAAAGGTGAAAGGAAGGGATCTAGTTAAAATCTTCTGCATGTAACTAGCTTATTTTTTTTCTCAGCACCATTTGTTGAACAGAGTCCTCTTTTCAATGTCGTCATTGTTGACTTCATAAAAAATCAGATGGTTGTAGGTTTGTAGCTTAATTTCTGGGTTCTCAAACCTGTTCCATTGGTCTATGTGTCTGTTTCTGTATCAGTACCGAAACATAGGATTGCTTTGGCTATTTGGGCTCTTTTTTGATTCCCTCAGAATTTGAGAATATATACATTTTTTCTAATTCTGTGAAAAATGACTTTGACAGTTTGGTAGGAATCAAATCAGTAAATTTCTTTGGGCAGTATGGCCATTTTAACAATATTGATTCTTCCTATCCATGAGCATGGAACGTATTTCCAATTGTTTGTATTATTTCTGATTTATTTCAGCAGTGTTTTGTAATTCTCATTGTAGAGATCTTTCAAATTACTGTTTATTTTTTATTCCCATATATTTAGTTTGTATAAAAGTAATTGCACTTTCGGAACATGAATTTTAAATCATTATATCTAGGCTCAAGCATGTCTTTATTAATCAAAATAGGAAACATATACAAATATTAAAATGGAATAATGACTTAAATGTAATACCTAATTATGTTAAAACTCTAAAGGAAAACCTAGGAAATACCATTCTGGACATAGGCCTTGACAAATATTTCACAATGAAGTCCCTGAAAACAATTGCTGCAAAAATGAAAATAGACAAGTGGACCCAATCAAACCAAAAAGCTTCTGCACAGAAAAAGGAAATATAAACAGAGTACACAGAAAGCACAGAGGATCGGAGAAAATATTTGCAAACGATACATCTGAAAGAAGTCAAATATCCAGATCTATAAGAAACTTGAACAAACTACAATGCCTGTGGTCAGCATTGGTCAACAGAAAAGGCCCAATTCTTCTCCAGGACAATGCCCCACTGCACATCACACAACCAACACTACAAAAGTTGAAGGAATTTGGCCACAAAATTTGCCTCATTCATCACATTCACTGGACCTCTTGCCAACTGACTACTACTTCTTCAACAATCTCGACAGCGTTCTGCAGGGATTTGCTTCCAAAACCAGCAGGAAGCAAAAAATGCTTTTGAAGAGTTCATCTAACCCTGAAGCATGGATTTTTATGCTACAAGAATAAACAAACCTATTTTTCACTGGCAAAAATGTGTTGATTGTAATGGTCCCTCAGCTCAGCTCATGAGACACCCACTTACTGGGCTTTTTCAACTTTTCAATTTTCTTCAAATCTGAATGACCATAGAATGGTCAACATTGACCATTGAGTTCTTCGGCATCTTCTCTTGTAGTTGTAAAAGTATCAGCTTCGATGATTGCTCTTAATTTGTCACTGTCAACTTCTGGCGGCTGGCCACTGAGCTCCACATCTTCAAGCCTCTCAATTTCTTTGCAAAACTTCTTGAACCGCCACTGCACTGTATGTTCTTGAGCAGTTCCTGGGCTAAATATGTTGGTGATGTTGCGACTTGTCTCCACTGCTTTACATTCCATTTTGAATTTGAATTAAAAAACCACTCAAATTTGCTTTTTGTCTAATATCATTTCCATAGTCTAAAATAGACATACACTAAACAGCAAGTGAAAAAAGAAAAACCCACAAAGTGGGAAATACCCATTAAAATGATGTATAACATAACCAAATTTATTTAAGAATGTATTCAAATATCAAACGGCAAATTCCAACAATGCAAAACCTGCAATTACTTTTGCACTCACTTAGTATTTAATTCTTCTTGTGGCTATTGCAAATGGGATTGTGTTCTTGGTTTGGCTCTCAGCTTGCATGTAATTGGTGTATAGAAATATTACTGATTTTTTTACATTGATTTTGTGTCCTAAAACGTTATTGAAATTATTTCTGTTGTAGAAACCTTAAGACAGAAGCTATGGGTTTATCAAAATATAGAATAATATAGACTGTAGTGAGAGACATTTTTACTTCTCTTCCTATTTGGATGCCATTTATTTATTTTTATTGCCTTGTCGCATTGACTAGGACTTCTAGTACTATGTGGAAAAGCAGTGGTGAGAATAGGCATTATCATCTTGTTATGGTTCTGAAGGGAAATGCTTACAACTTTTACCCATTCAGTATGATGTTGGCTGTGGGTATGTCATAGATGGCTCTTACTATTTTAAGGTGTGTATTTTGATGCCTAGTTTCCTGACAGTTTTTAACATAAAGAGATGTTCAGTTTTATTGAAAGCCTTTTGTGTGTCTATTGAGATGATCATGTGGTCTTTTTTTTTAGTTCCATTTATGTGATGAATCACATTTTTTGAGTGGCATAGGATGAACCAAACTTGCATCACAGGAATAAAGCCCAGTAGATTGTCATGGATTAGCTTTTTGATGTGCTGTTGGATTCAGTTTGATAGAATTTTATTGAGGATATTTTTCATCTTTGTTCATCAGAAACATTGGCCTGAAGTTTTATTAACTGATTGATTGATTGATTGTCTCTTCTAGGATTTGGTATCAAAATGATGCTGGCCTCATAAAACAAGTTAGGGAGAAGTCCCTCCATCCTCCTAAATTTTTTGCAGTAATTTCAGTAGGATTAGTCCTAGCTCTTCTGTCTATGTCTGGTATAATTGAGCTGTTAATCTGTCTGGTCCTGGGCTTCATTTGGTTGGTATTTTTTTATTTTTTACTACTGATTCAATTTTGTAGCTCATTATTTGTCTGTTCATGGTTTCAATTTCTTCCCAGTACAATTTTGGGAGGTTGTATGTTTTCAGAAATTTATTCATTTCTTGTAGGTTTTCTAGTTTGTGTGAATAGAGGTGTTTGTAATAGTCTCCAAGTGTTTTATTGTATTTTTGTTGTTATTTCTAATTTTGTTTATTTGGATGATCTCTCTTTTTTCTTTATTAATCTATCTAGCAGTCTATCAATGTTCTTTCTTCTTTCAGATAACTATCTTTAAGTTTTCTTTATCTTTTGTATAGTTTTTTTCATGTCTCAATTTCATGTAGTTCAGCTCTGATTTTATGGTTATTTCTTTTCTTCTGCTAGCTTTGAGATTGGTTTGCTCTTATTTTTCTAATTCTTCTCAGTATGATGTTAGGTTGTTAATTTGATATCTGTCCAACTTCTTCATGTAGGCATTTAATGCTTTAAACTTTCCTCTTAACTTTGCTTTAGCTGTGTCCCAGAGATTCTGGAATGTTATGTCTTTGTTTTCATTAGTTTCAAAGTATTTTTTTTTATTTCTGCCTTAGTTTCATATTTTAACCAAACATCATTCAGAAGCAGGTTGTTTAATTTTTATGTAATTATATGCTTTTGAGACATCTTCTTGGTGTTGACTTTTAGTTTTATTGTGCTGTGGTCCTAGAGTGTGTTTGCCTTTTTTTTTATAATTTTTGTGAATTGTTTTATGGATGAGTGTGTGCTCAATCTTAAAAGTATGTGCTTTGTGAAGATGAGAAGAATATATATTCTATGGTCGTTGTATGGAATATTTTGTTGATGTCTGTCAGTCCCATTTGGTCAAGCATCAAGTTTCAGTCCTGAATATCTTTGTTAGTTTTCTGACTCAATGTGTCTAACATTGACAATGGGATGTAGAAGCCTCCTATTATTATTTTGTGGGTAAATATCTTTGTAGATATCTGAGAACTTATTTTAGGAATCTGGGTGCTCAACGTTGGGTGCATACATATTTAGAATAGTTAAATCTTCTTGTTGAATTGAATCTGTTTTCATTATGTAATGCCCTTCTTTATCTTCTTTGGCCATTGGTGGTTTAATGTTTATTTCATCTGAAGTAAGAATAGCAATCTCTGCTCTTTTTTGTTTTCCATTTGCTTGAGAGATCCTTCTCCATTCCTGCAGTTTGAATCTATGGGTGTAATTGCATGTGAGATGTGTCTCTTACAGCAGACAGTTCGGTCTTGTTTCTTCATCCAGCCTTTCACTTTGTGTCTTTTAAGTAGGATGCTTAGCCCAGTGAAAAGTCAATAAATAATATGTGAGGATTTGATCCTGTTATTATGTTGTGAACTGGTTATTATGTGGACTTGATTGTATAGTTGCTTCATAATGTCAATGGGCTATGTACTTAAGTGTGTTTTTGTGGTGGCAGATATTAATCTTTTGTTTCTATGTTTAGCACTCCCATAAGGACCTCTTGTAAGGCAGGTCTGGTGGTAATAAATTCTCTTTATATTTGCTTGTCTCAAAAGGATTTTATTTCTCCTTTATTTATGAAAGTTACTTTGACTGGATATGAAATTATTGGTTGTAATTTCTTTTCCTTTAGGATACTAAATATAGGCCCCCAATCTCTTCTGACTTGTAGAGTTTCTGCTAAAGGGTCTGCTGTTAACCTAATGTAGCTCCCTTTGTAATTTACCTGCCCCTTCTCTCTAGCTCCTTTAAGGTTTCTCCTTTTGCATTGAACTTGGAGAATCTGGTGACTATGTGTCTTGGGAATGGTCACCTTGTGTAGTATCTCACAGAGGTTCTCTGAATTTCCTGAATTTACCTGTCAACCTCTCTAGTGAGGTTGGGGAAATTTTCATAGATAATATCCTCAAATATGTTTTCCAGGTTGCTTGCTCTCTCCCCATTTTTTTTCCAGGAATGCCAATGAGTCATAGGTACCGTCTCTTTACATGATCTTTTATTTTTCAGAGGTTTTGTTCATTTTTAAAAATTCTTCTTTCTTTAATTTTGTTTGTCTGAATTGATTTGAAGGAATAGTCTTGAGCTCTGTGATTTTCTTAGCTTGCTTTATTCTGTTATTATTGCTTCCAATTGTATTATGAAATTCATGTATTTTTTTTTTATTTCCAGATGTTCAGCTTCGTTCTTTCTGGGTATGTCATCATTCAACCCTTGGATTCTTTTGCTGTTTTCCTTGAATTTGATTTCCACCTTCTTCTATATCTCATTGAGCTTCCTTGCTGCCCAGGTTCTGAATTCTATATCATTATATCAGCCATTTTTATCTGATTGTTAACAATTGCTGGGAACCTAGTGTGATTGTTTGGAGGTAAAAGAAGACACTCTGGCTTTTAGAATTGCGAGTAATCTTGCACTGTTTTTTGTTTGTTTGTTTGTTTTCTCATCTGTGTGGGTGATGGTCCCTTATTCTCTGAAGTTGCTGTACTTTGGATAGGGCTTTTTTGCTTTTATATTCTTTGATGCCCTTGAGGTTCTGACTCTGGTGTAAGTTGGATTTAGTCAATTGGCTTCATTTCTGGATGTCTTCACAGACTGAGCTCAACACTCCTGGGCTGTGTGCTCTAATCCTGCAGTCCTGAAATCAGGCCCATGACTCTTTTTTCTGGCCCCTTGAGGTTAAGGAGATGCTGTTTTGGAGGGGCTGAGGTGCTCCCAGTCCACTAGAAACAACACTGATGGATGCTGCCAGCAAAAGCAGCCTGATGAAGTAGTGAACAGGCAGTGGGTGTGTGTGCATCAGTGGAGACCCAGTGCAGCCATAGGTGATTGTACACTGGCATGGCAGCAGTGAGGGGTCCAGGAGCAACTGCACACTAATGGGGGTTGTGGGGGAGCCAAGGGCATGTGCACTGTAATGGGGTGGTATTGGGTTTTTGCTTGCCTGCATGCCAGCCAGATGGCTGAGGAAAACTGAAGACAAGTGTATGCTGGTGGGGTAAGCTATGGAAAGTACTCACCAGTGGGAGTCCGTCTGTGAAACTGACTTGAGAGGAAGGCAGGTGCTGTCAACAAAAGACTTAAGGCACTGATCAGTGTCAAGTGCTTTAATAGGGCAGCTGAGGCTACGCTGTAACCTGGTGTGGCCAGGCAGAGACCTTGGGAGAGGCCAGCATATGGAGAACATTTAGACTAGACTGGCCCTGTCCTGAGGGCAAGATAGCCATGCTCTCTCTAGGTCTGGCAAAGTCTAACACCACTTGAAGGAATATGGAGAGCCTTAGTGAATGGGTACTGATGACTGTGCTCCACTGCAGTCATCCCCATGCCAAACCATCTGGGCTCCATGGCTCCACACAGAATAGAGTTCTGTCTCTGCCAACTCTCTGGAAAGTTCTCCCTATCAACTCAGATATCTGTGGTGGTATTGGGCATCTCTCACTTCTAGGATTCCAGAGTTCTGTTGACAGTGGGCTGCTCCATACCTGTATCACTCACCCCTTTGCTAGGAGTCACTTGAGGCCAGAAACTAATCCTGGTTCTTGGCAACCCCATCCAGAGCTCTTAGTTTCTTTTCTCTTCAGTCCCAGGGTCTGCATCTTTCCTCTATCAACTCTCAATGTCTTCTTTCCAAACATCAGCTTACAGTGTTCCAGTCTACTTGATACTCTGGTCTCTGTCAATGGGAGAAGTTCTTCCTGGCTGTGTCTAGTCAGCCATCTTGACATTTTCTCTACTCAATATTGTACAAGAGGTTCTTGATATTGTAATGTCATAAATAAATAGCATCTATATTGAAAATGAGGAAATAAAAAACGTCTTTATTCATGGTTGATATAATCATTGATGAAAAAAATTCTATGGAATTGACAAAAAGATATTAGTATTACTAAATGAGTTCAATAAGATTACAGGATAAAAACTACTATATAATAAACTATTACCACGAAAAATCAATTATGTTTCTATATAGTAGCACTAAGCAATCGAAAATTAATTTTTGATAACACGAGTAAATTAAGAGGGCCCTGGCACGGTGGCTGGCTTACGCCTGTAATCCCAGCACTTTGGCAGGCTGAGATGGCTAACACGGTGAAACCCTCGTCTCTACTAAAAATGCAAAAAAAATTAGCCGGGCGTGGTGGCACACGCCTGTAGTCCCAGCTACTCGGGAGGCTGAGGCAGGAGAATCACTTGAACCCAAGAGGCGAAGGTTGCAGTGAGTCGAGATCGCACCACTGCACTCCAGCCTGGGCGACAGAGCAAGACTCCATCACAAAAAAAAAAAAAAAAAAAAGACTAACCAAACCAAGAGTTGGCAAGGATGTGGAGCAACTCGGACTCTCTTTACACTGGTGGTGGAAACATAGTATGGTACAACTAATTTAGGAAATAGTTGTTAGTTTTGTTTGTCAGTGTGCACTTAGAATATGAACCAGGAACTCCAAGAGAAATAAAACGTGTGTCCGTGCAAATACTTATATACAAATTACCATTCCCCACTTTCTTTTTAACAGCTTAACATTGGAAACAATACAAATATCCATTAACAAGTGAAGGGATAAAAAAATGTGTCAATACTACTCAGGACTAAAATGTAAGGGCTATTTAGAAAAATGTAAATGAATTTCAAAATAATTATGCTGAGTTAAAGAAGTCAGGTAAAAAAGAGAGTATATTGTATATGATTTAATGCATTTCTAGAAAATGCACAAATTCATTGCGATAAAGAATAGGTCTGTGCTTACCTAGTTGAGGAAATGAGAAGAGGTGAGAGTGGTGGATTACAAGGGATACATGGAAAATTTTTAAAGTGATGATTATGTTTATTACCTTGATGTGGTCCTGATTTTATAGATGTATACATATGTCAAAATTATCCAATAATACATTTTAAATATAGGTAGTTTTGTGTGTCTCAATAATAATTTAATGCAATATATATACGTTAAAAATAAGGGATAAACAAAGACTTTGTTTTCAATATTGTATGTACTTACATGTGTGTGTGTTTGTGTACTGTACTATTAATGTGTTTCAGGAATTGAAAGAATATCATTAAGTTATATTCAGAGTAGCTGTTACATTTTTGTCCTCTGCAAACTTCGTTATATGTTAAATATGGTAGAAAGCAACTCTTAAGAGTTTGTCTTTATTTTCTTTTCCTCAAATCAACTTAATGCGAGTATTTCTGTAGTGGGAATAGCATAAATGAACACAATTACTCATAAGACAAATATGAATTATGCTTCCTCATACTAGTGATTCCACTGAAATGATAATTCATTTTAATTCTAGAGCTATACCCTTAATATTAGTCATCACTAACATAACTTGTGTCCTAAATTCAGTTATTTTATTAAAATTTATGAAATGTTATTAGCTTTAGCTATGAATTATTTGCCAGAGATATAGCATTATAATAATGCTAATAAATTAGATTATTATTTGCTTAAAGTTTTATTCTTTAAAACTTGACTACTTAATTATATCTTTCTTATAAAAAGACCACACATTTGTGAAAGCAAACTTGCAGAGTAAGATTTTTCATGGTTATTGAATCTGCTCTTGTTTGGAATGCATGTTTGATGGTTGGAGCTTATATATATATGTGTGTGTGTATATATATATATACACACACACATATATAGCATCATTTGTGATGCATCCAAATATTAAAGACACATTTAAAATCTCAATTTATTTCCAAAGATACCAGAAAAGTGCAGAGCTAAATTTGCAGCCCTATTGTATGATGCTGTAATATCTGCCCTCCTAATATTTTCTGTCTTATGTATACTTCCCCTGCACCCATTATGTATTTGCATTGTTCAATTTCATTACCTATATTTAAATGATTTTGTAAATTATCTCTATTCTGATGTAATATGGGAGTTTATATATAAAAGAGGAAACATAAAATGTTTAGTACAAAAAAATGCAAAAATAAATGATTTACTGAGTTATCTGGAAAGATTTCTTAGATGTTTTGAAGGTATATTTGATAGTTAATGATGACGCTTAGGCTATCTGCTTTCACTAAAAAATCAATTGCTTTTGTTACCTAGACACATGTATATCACAAAGATTATTATAAGTATATTAGTTTTGATTAGGCTTATTTTGGCTTACATGTATCTCAGAGTGATTCAAATGAGCAGATGATTATTCTGATATCACAGCACAGTGGTTGGCAAAAAAGAATCTGCAGTGCTGAACATGTGTGCTGTGAAGATGGACGTACTGGGCCAAACCAGAGAGTGCAAAAGGAGAGGAGGAGAACATCTTTGTGAGGATGCCCTGATGAGGAAGTGGCAGTACTGGACAGGTTTAAAATTTTATTGTGTCTTCATCAGATCATCTATTTTTAAATGAAAAGTCCTGATTGTGGTACAGAGTATCAATAGACATGGTTGGGGAGGTAGATAAAAGATGTACAAGAGGCAGCAAATGAGGGCCTTTCATTAGCAAAACTTCAGTCTGGCAATCAGAACTTGGGGTAGGTAAAAACATGGCAAGATGTGTTGATTTCTTAAAATGTTTTAGTCATAAAATCTTGCTGAGCTTCAGATGACAAACCCATTATTCATTTTTGTGTGATTTTTTTTGTTGATGTTTTCTGTTTTACTGTTTCAGCAATGATATTTTGCCATTTGATACAATACAGAAAATCCAAACACTTCAAATTTACAACAAATAAATATGTTGTTTTTAGAATACCGTCTTATTGCCTTTAATACAAAATTGCATGACTAAAGTGAAAACATCTACTAAATATTTCAGTCCTCTCTGAAGCATGGTTTAAAATATCAGAAGTAAATATTAATTTCAACAGTATGTAGATTGTCAACAGTTTCTATTTGAAAATGTAATTGCAGAGATCATTGTGATTCTTGTCTACTTGTTTCCTGTCTGGCTTTTGCTGCTGACGTATCATGGTATCTATGCAATAGCTTCCAGACAAATCATGAATGAAGTAATATGCTTTCATCTTCCTGTGGGAGGAATAAGCTCATGAACGAAAGATAATGATTTGAAAGGATAAAATAAAAAGTATGTGACAAATCAAAATTATTAAAATGTTATATTTTCCCTTCAAATGTATTTAGCTGAAGTTTCATAGTACTCCAAACTATGAGGGACAGTACTCAGTATAATTTTATAAGGCCAATCATTGCATTCTTCAGTCTCAATAGATAAGAAGCTATTGAAAAAGGTGGAGATGAATAGAAAGGGAGAAGGTAACATCAGCACACACTTTCTGTAGACAAAAGAGATCTGAAATATTGGTTAATTTGTGCTCTTTCTAAAATTTTTAAATTATGTGCTCAGTTAAATTGTCTAATGATTCTTATTTGTCATAGATATTAGGGATTATTTACTTTGCAGGTTGTTTTACTTATTTCATAAAAGCAAAAGTAATAAGTTGTTCCTTTTTTATAAATAGTGGATAGATATCAATACAGTACAAATCAGTGCATATTTTTAGCCTAAACCTTCTAGAGAGCACAGATATATGTATATATGTGTGTGTGTGTATATATATACACATTGATATGTATTTATATTTACATTTATATCTTTATATTTATACATTATATGTCTATAACAATATATAGTATATAATATATAATATATAAATGTGAATATAAACGTATATGCACATATATTTATACATAAATATATACATTATATATAAATATGTGTATATTTATACATATATACATTATATATAAATATATGTATATATACATATATACATTATATATAAATATATGTGTATATATACATATATACATTATATATAAATATATGTATATTTATACATATATGTATAAATGTGTGTATATATACATTTTTAAAAGCAAGAACTTATACCACGATAATAAACTGCTGCCCTAACATAAAGGATTTTTTTAATCCATTATACTAGAACCTTGCATATAGAATCCCCCTCCATACCTCTACGATGTAGTAATGTGCAAGGCTACTACCATGAAGTCATAGCATATTTTTACTGCTGCTTCCACCACTGAAATGTCATTCCTAAAGTTCATTCCTAAAGGGGATACCATCATAATCTTGAGATCATTTTTTAAAATCAGTGATTATGTGTTCAGTATTATCAGTATGTAAACACTAGACAGAATACACATGACTACTAAGGCCTACCTAAGGCCTACTCCCTCAGATATTCTTGGATCAAGATATTTCATGTTCACGTTGAAAAACAAGGTCTTTAGATAATTTAAAATTACTACGAAACCCCTAGAGTTGGTAATACACACAGGAAGGGAAATAAGATCTGAAGGTTCAATAAGGGATGGAGATTGGATAGCTGATAAAGCAGAACAGGTACCTAAGGAGAGTGATGCTTGTCTACTTGCTTCCTGTCTGGGTTTTGCTGCTGACATTTCATGATATGTATGCAATAGCTTCTAGACAATTCGTGAATGAAGTAATAAGTTTTCTTCTTCCTGTGGGAATGCATGAAAATAAAATAATACGGAAATAAAAGAAAAAATATCAAATAAAAATGAAAGTACTATGGCATAAAGTATCTGGATTATGAGATCAGAGGTAAATCTAATGAAAAAAAATCACACAGAATTTAAATCTTAAGTTGGGCAAAGCATTTTAGACCAAAGCTTCGTGAGGTTAAGACTCAGATCTGCTTTCAACTCTTTAACTACCACAATGTTCCATATATCAGATGCTCAATAACTATTTCCTGGATGAACTCATGCTAACTATTAAAGCCTGTCTAAATTCACCCAGAGGTGGAGAAAGCACTGGTTACACTTGCTTCATGGTTCCAGGTACATGGCAGAGCCCGTCTGCTGTAGCAGATGCCTGGGGGTTGATTGGACAACAAACGTGTGTGAGGAAAAAGGCATTTCTTTCTGAGAAGGCTGCCAAGAAAGAGGACCAAACAACTGTGCCAGGACTGCTCTTAACCTCCATCAACACCCTCACCATCATATTGATCTACCTAATTTAACCAAAAAGCTTCTGCAAATGTGTGCAGAGATAATTGGACTACGTTTTACAGTTTAAAATAAACAGCCCCATAACATTTTTGATGAGTTAATTTGCATTATGTCCTTTATGCAAACACTATCTGTTTGCTATGCCTTCCTTGAAACACACTAACACATCGATAGTTTCTGGAAATATTTCAGTATGAAATATTTCTGCAGTAACCCTTAAATTTTCATGTTGTTAATGTGAGTAATCTATACATTCTCCTAAGTTTAAATTTATTTATTTTAGCTATGATTACAAAGATATAGACATAGGGATTAGAGAATAAAAATTTAATGAATTATTTCCTATTTCACTTTTCCCATCTCTGACTTACCTTTGGTTACAGGATTCTAGAAAAGAAATTCAAACAACTGTAGTAACTTTAGCCTTATTTTCCTTGAAAGAGGAGGTTAACAACATGAAACTTAGACTTTGGTGGTAGAGAAACTTGATTTTTAATGAAAGAAACAAAAACAATGTATATGCAAGGATAAGTGAACTATCTTTCCCTTAAGATATTACCAATTTTACATTATGAGTTAACAAATTTTGTGGCAACCTAATTTGTTTTTCCATAGACTATAAGTTTCTAATATAAAATGGTTAATTTTCCTATGAAGTAGAAAACTATACAATAAGATTGGATCTGTATTTAAACTCATGCTTAAACAGGTTAAATATGCACTGCTTTTTATACACCTATGGAAGAACACAGTATACCACCTAAGGAGATTATTCTCATGCACAAGTCAAGATGAAATCAAAAATTATAAATGATCTCTTTGAGTTCACTGTTTTCTTCCCTTTATGCATTCCACATAGACAATTTTTTTAATAAAACCTTTCTAAAATACTGCATTTTTACCTGGTTAGGAGACAGGAAAAAAGTAACAATATAATTTACATTTTTCATGACAGTGTATTTTTAAATTCTCTTATAGGCACTGACCCTCTATTCCATATTAACCTTATTTCTATTACTTCTTTTCTGTGCATTATCTAATGCTAATATAATAGAAACAAACATAGAGTAATTCTGACTAATCTTTTATTGTCTTTAGAGTACTAATGCATGGAATACTTTCCAGATAGAAGCCTTAGTAAGATTTTACTTACTTTTAAAATTCCAGCTAAAATAGACATTTTCTATTTGATATTGACATAATATGATTATTTTCCAAGTATCAGCTCAAGTTTCATTACAGTAATTTTCCAGGACATTCGTATTTTGTGAACATCAGATTTTTTTTTTTTTTCCTGAGAACAGGACCATAAGGGAAAAAATGAGGACATGGCTTCTTTAGCTATCTATATTCACCGTGGATGACTGTAAAGTGAACTGGGTGAGCTGGATTAGCTAAGTGAAACAGCCCTATGGCGATTGCTCTAGAGGAGGAAGATGTAAAGGGGAATTGTGGAGAATGGATCAGAAGCACAAGACTTCTAGCCTTATCAAATCTTCTGTGACAAAATCATGGCTCTGAAGCAGGTGGGGCACTCTTAAAATATTAATTCTTAAATTATTGTCCCTAAATCCTTAGAGAATTATCAGGCCCTTTTAGGGGTTCAAGGAAATACAATCTATTTTCATAATAATTCTAAGATATTATCTGCCTTTTTATTGTGTCAGTAAGTGCACTGATTGTGAAAAGCAATGGGGGATAAAACTGCCAGTGACTTATAGCAAGACAGTGTCCCCATATTTTATTACTAATTACTGTATTATTCATTGCCATGCACCGCCATATAATCCAATATCAGTTTAACTTAAGAATATATTTAAATAACAAAGAATAGTATTTATAAACAAAAACTTGATCCTTAAGTCACATACATCTATTTTTAACAATCTGCTTGACAAAAGGAGATGTACACTTAAAGCAAGTCAGTCCTTACCAAAATATGATGGTTGTCTCAAGGAATATCAGTGGTTTGTTTTGAGTAGCCAGAAAAACTAACCATTTATTTCATAGATTGGAACTTTTACTAACGACAATGACTTACAGACAAATTATACTACTTCGTGTCTGGGTATTTGGAAGATGTTTCCTCAAAAAATGAACAAAATAAGCCTATCACAGAAGACAATTGACAATATATGTGGAAAATAATAAACTTTTAGAAAAGAAGAATTAGAATTTTAGGGGTTTGTTTCCATCACTGTGAACTTGATGGCCTGTGACTACATAAAGGAATATTCCAATTAAATTAATAATTATATTAAACAATGTTAATTTTTGATATTGTAAAATGAAATTCACCTACATTTGGAAGATGTTCATAAATCAATGAACTCATGTTTTCCAAATGACAAATGCATGATGTTATAAAATTATCTGTGAATAAAAGGTCCATTCAAGGTTCTTCTTAGGTCAACTGATTCTAATGTAACAGAATATAAAATTATTTTGATTTTTTCAGATTCCATTTTGAAACTAACCTTTAAATAACTTTTATCTGTTCTTGAAGAACACTACCAACAATTAGCTGAGAAGATCATTAAAGTTCCCCTCTTTTTATTTCCATCTACATATCTACATGAAACTTTGATTTTCTTTATATACCTCAGCCAATTTATTGTAAAAAATTTAATGAAAAGCAGATGTGAGAATTCAACTGCCTTCTATTAAGGAAGACATTAAATAGATTTGAAAACAATGTAAAACAATTACATTTTTCTCACAAATGCAATTTGACTAAGTTTATAGGTAGCAAGTGGAAGGTCATAAAAGAACATCATATAGCACGTGACATAATCTAATTTGATTTTTCCTATTATTGTTTGGAATAATGTGAAATAGAATAATGAGTAAGAAAAATGTCACAAATCTCAGGTACCTTTCATACTTTCTGTTAGGACAGTGGGAAATTGTTAATATTTGAATAACAACACTATAGCTTATCAACTATTTCTGCTTATTTCTACCACACTTTTTATTTATATATTGTTAGTCAATGAAGATAAATCTCATATAAAAACTATTTATATATTAAACTTGTCTATGATAAGCAATAACTAGGTTCTTAGGAGCTCACTTTTGATGTATCTCTAATATTTTGGTAGGTATGTAAGAAGTTACCTAGATTGTTGTGTTTAGTGTGAATCTTCCTGATAATGAATGTGACAAGAGAAACTATATTATCTTGTGAAAATTTTATCTTTTATTCTTAAAAAGTTGACATTTCTCCTTATTCTTCAAAGATAAAATAATCTATTAGTGCATAATGAGATATATATGGAAGCTAATCAAAGATAAGCTTCCCCATGGTCATACTTGAAGCAAAATACAAACATCAGAAAGTCATTGGCAGAGCTGTGCTTAGAAATCAGGAATAAAGTAGCATGATTTCAACCATAAAGGCAGTATATTTTTATTGGTTCCATTTTAGATAATAGAAGGTTATGATACTTTTGAATGAGCTTCTGCATTCCTTCGTTAATTTCTGGCATTGTGGTGAATATTAATAAGCACATCTTTTATCATCACAATATTAAATTTTATAACACAACGTCTTGTCCTTCCCTTTGCCAAGATTTTTAAATAGATGTAATTTTAAGAATATCCACATTAATATCACCAAAAATAGCTACAAATGTAGTAGGGAGAGTTAGTCTCTGTCAAATAACATACACATATTTTATAAAATTAACTTGCCAATATATGGTTTGAATTTAGATTATCAATATCTGCATATTATGAAACAATGTTATGTCAGAATTACACTGCAATATACAATTAAAATAAAATGATTAATTTTCTCTTATTCCTCCAATAGCCCCTTAATTCTGTGTTAAAATTTGATAAACAAATCTATAAAAGAGAATGTTTAGCTAATAACTAACAGTAAAAATCGTTGACAATGGAAAAAGCAGCTAACTGGTTTTTAGTTGCCACCTCATCGCATAACAGTGATTTCATTAGTTTCCTGTTTTTGAATAACAAATTACCACAAGTTAGTGGTTTAAAATGACAGAAATTTATTTCACAGTTTCCATGGTACGGGAGTTATGGTACAAGGTAACAAAGTGCTCAGGACCCCCGGCTAAAAATCATCTGGGCTCCCAATTCATATTGGAGCCTCAGCGTACTACCCAAACTCATTAATTGTTGACAAAATTCATTTCCCTGAAGTTGTATGACTAAGGCATCCATATTCTTACTGACTTCTGAATAGAGACCACATTCAACTTCTAGAGGTCACGCTCAGTTCCTGGCCACATGCCCCCAAAAGGAGTTCAGAGCATGATTCTTTGCTTTCTTCCAGATGAACAGGAGCACATCTCTCTGACTTTTAATGTTCTTCCAGTATTCTACAAAGGAAGAAAAGAAATACTCACAGACACACACACACACAATCCCAGGAGTGACTCTGTCTTCACTATTTGCCTTATAACATAATCTAAGCTACAGAGCAATTATACTTTCATATCTACAGATTCTGCCCACACTCAATGAGATAATATTAATTCAAGGTGTATGTTTATACCAAGTAGTAAGAATCTGAGAGATCATCTTGGAATATTGTTTACAACAGAAAACTTTTAACCTATTGGGCTTTAAATAGAAAGTTTCAGTCCAGGAACAAAATAATTTATTTCATTATTTCCAAACATATTTCTTTGTAGAAATGAATGATATTACTAACATCTTATGGCATTTATTGAGATCAATATTTATCTTCAAGTTGATAGTCAGTATTTATAGCCCCTCACTCTAAAACCAGGTATAGAGGTCAAATAGTAAGTAAATGAATACAGAATTTTCTTGCACCCCTAGAAACAACTGTACTGAGAGTAATATTTTAAATATATATAGTTTTTTAATTAACAAATTAAACTCTATATTCCAAATCAGGAGAAACATATGAAGGCAATTGTTGTATATTCCTTTAAAATATTCTTGTGTGTGTGTGTTTTGATTTCATTTGTTGCTTGACACAATAAATGTATTTTCTGCAGAGGGTGACAGTGGCAATTGGGAGAGTTAATGTGGATCTTTCTCATTTGAGAATCATAGCAATAACAGGTGCCTAAATTTCATGAAAAGACCTTAGGCTTAATGAGGTGTAGACAAATTCATCATGATCAGGTAATAAAAATCTTAACCTAAAAAATGTTTAAATCTTATATGGTTAGAGTTTGAAGTTACTGCTTAATTTTTCCTAATAAACTTTTAACAAGTTCTTATATTAATATATTCACATTTTAAGTAAAATGACACTTGGGTAATTTCCCAAGATTTACATTTTGAGGTCATATTTTCATAAAATAGTTGGCCAATAAAATAATAGAATTGCACTATTTTATCAATCATGATTTCAGAGTCATCCCAAAAGAAACAAACTAAAATGTCTTTTAAAAACACAAGGATAGTATTATGAGAAATAGATTGCTTCAGCCTATGTACAGCAGATTTAATATTTAACAATAATATGTAACCTTAATACTTAATAATTAAATAGAATTTTTGCAGTATTGCTTAATGTATGTATTATATAATGTGATATATTTGGATGAATAAAAACCTCTAATTTTGAATACAATTTTTTGCATTTATTTAAAACATTTTATTTCACCTGCAAAAAAGCATCGTCAAATGGCATATGCAAGTTTCACATTTCTTAAAAACAAGTAAATGGAAGAAATTTATTATTGAGATAGCAATAATTTGAGTAGATTTAGAATTCCTGGAAGTAAAACATTTCCCAGTTTCAAAATTACACAAATAACAAACAAACAGCTACAACAGCAACAAAATGACTTGAGAAGAAAAACATAACCTGAGGCAAACTCTTCTATTTAAAGAGTAATAAAAAAGTACAATGATAGCAGTTAAACATTTCAAAAGGGGCAGCAATGAGGAGAGACCAGTTATATATTGAAGGATTCTCTTGAGTATGCTGTTTATGAATATATATGTGCACTCATTTGCATACACACACAGACACACATACACAAACACAATACATCTATTCTTCCTGGTCCCATTTTTGGTATGCCATTATCTGATATCAAAAATCAATGAAAATGTATGCAAATCTTTCTTGCAATCTTTAACAAAAAATAAATTTAAATCTTTTCTTGGCTGTTTCAATCTCTCATTCCTGGAACATGTCCCCAATCTTACTTCTCTGTGCTACATTCAACAAACTATTCTTCCTCAAAGGAAAAAAAATACTTTTTTCTCTACCTGTTCCTCTGTGACCTATCATACCTGGTCTATTCTTTTTATTAAATTTCCCTTTCCAACTGTAAATCAGCATAAGAATTTTAGAATTATTCCATAATTATTTTTCATTAATACATAATAGATCTACATATTTTAGGATACATGTGATAATTTGACCACTTCATATGATATGTAATGATGAAATAATGATAATTGGTATATTCATCACCTTAAACATTTATCTTTATGCTAGGAACATCTAAATAATTCTCCTCTAGCTGTTTAGCAATGTACAATACATTATTTAAACTGTAGTCACCCTACTGATCTATCAAATACTAAGTCTTATTTCTTCTAGATAGCTATTATTTGTATACATTACTCAAACTCTCTTTAGCTTCTTCTCCTTCTTATCTTTCCTGGCCTCTGGTAACTACCAATCTGTCTTCAAGGAATCCGCCTTCTTAGCTCCCAAATATGAGTTAGAATATCCTACCTGTAGCAATTAGGCAAGAGAAAAAAAGAGCCATACAAATTGGAAAGGAAGAAGAAAAATTATTTTTGTTTGCTGATGACATGAACTTAGAAAAATCTAAATACTCCAGCAAACCAGAACTAATAATTCAGTAATGTGCAAAATATAAAATCAACTTACAAAAATCAGCAGCAGTTATTTGCCAATGGGGAACAGGCTGAAAAAGGAATAAGGAAAGCGATCCCATTTGCAATAGCTAAAAAATATAAAATACCTAGAAATAAACTTAACTAAAGAGTAGAATGTCTCCATGAGGAAAACTACGAAACATGGATGAAAATAATTGAAGAGGGCACAAAAAAAGAAAAACATTCTATGCTCAACAAAAGAATTTTCAACCCAGAATTTCATATCCAGCCAAACTAAGCTTCATAAGTAAAGGAGAAATAAAATCCTTTACAGACAAGCAAATGCTGAGAGATTTTGTCACCACCAGACCTGCCTTACAAGAGCTCCTGAAGGAAGCACTAAACATGGAAAGGAACAACTGGTACCAGCCACCGCAAAAACACGCCAAATTGTAAAGACCATCGATGCTAGGAAGAAACTGCATCAACTAACATGCAAAATAACCAGCTAACGTCATAATGACAGGATCAAATTCACACATAACCATATTAACCTTAAATGTAAATGGGCTAAATGCTCCAATTAAAAGACACAGACTGGCAAATTGGATAAAGAGTCAAGACCCCTCAGTGTGCTGTATTCAGGAGACCCATCTCACATCCAGAGACACACATAGGCTCAAAATAAAGGGATGGAGGAAGATCTACCAAGCAAATGGAAAAAAAAAAAAAACAACAAAACAAAAACAGGGGTTGCAATCCTAGTCTCTGATAAAACAGACTTTAAACCAACAAAGATCAAAAGAGACAAAGAAGGCCATTACATAATGGTAAAGGGATCAATTCAAGAAGAAGAACTAACTATCCTAAATATATATACACCCAATACAGGAGAACCCAGATTCATAAAGCAAGTCCTTAGAGACCTACGAAGAGACTTAGATTCCCATACAATAATAATGGGAGACTTTAACACCCCACTGTCAACATTAGACAGATCAATGAGACAGAAAGTTAACAAGGATACCCAGGAATTGAACTCAGCTCAGCTTCAAGCAGACCTGATAGACATCTACAGAACTCTCCACCCCAAATCAGCAGAATATACATTCTTCTCAGCACCACATCACACTTATTTCAAAATTGACCACATAGTTGGAAGTAAAGCACTCCTCAGCAAATGTAAAAGAACAGAAATTATAACAAACTGTCTCTCACACCACAGTGCAATCAAACTAGAACTCAGGATTAAGAAACTCACTCAAAACTGCTCAACTACATGGAAACTGAACAACCTGCTCCTGAATGACTACTGGGTACATAACGAAATGAAGGCAGAAATAAAGATGTTCTTTGAAACCAATGAGAACAAAGACACAACATACCAGAATCTCTGGGACACATTTAAAGCAGTGTGTAGAGGGAAATTTATAGCACTAAATGCCCACAAGGGAAAGCAGGAAAGATCTAAAATTGACACCCTAACATCACAATTAAACGAACTAGAGAAGCAAGAGCAAACACATTCAAAAGCTAGCAGAAGGCAGGAAATAACTAAGATCAGAGCAGAACTGAAGGAGATAGAGACACAAAAAAACCCTTCAAAAAAATCAATGAATCCAGGAGCTGATTTTTTGAAAAGATCAACAAAATTGATAGACTGCTAGCAAGACAAATAAAGAAGCATTGAAAAAATGTAATATTGTTAAAACGTTAATGTTATGCAAAATGATTTACAGATTCAAAGCAATCCCTATCAAAATACCCTTCTTTTTCAGAATTATTTACTTGGCTGTTCAATTAAGGCATAAAAGTAGGGTGGCAGAATAAGATTTTTCAGAGTTCACTGAGCAAGAATGGAGGAGAAGCTGAGAGAAACCATTCAAGATTTTTATCTGATAGATGGAGAACATAATCCATCAAAACACCTCTTTGTATGAGTTTTTATCACATGATTTGATATACCTTTTCTCATTATCATAGTAAATGTTCTTGAGTATACTGTATATTGTAAGGTAATATGTTTTTTATACTATAACACCTCCTAATCTCTCAACGGCACTAACATGTGTGAGGCACCTACAAAAGTGAGGACCCAACATAAAGACAGAAAAATATAAAGGTTTTTAACTAATAAAGAATAATTAAATTCTATTGCTTTGTATTTTTAATGAATAGTAATTATGTTTATGAGGTACAATATAGTTATACACTGTGAAATGATTAAATCAAGCTAATTAATCCATCACTTCACTTACTTATAATTTTTTGTGGTGAGAACATTTACTATCCACCCTTTTAGCAATTTTGAAGTATGAAAGTATTATTAACTGTGGTCACCATGCTGTACAATAGATGACTAAATCTTATCCTGCTATTTAATGGAATGACCAACATCTCCCCTTTTTCACACCCTTCCACCAGCCTCTGGTAACCAGCATTGTACTCAAAATTTCTGTGAGTTTCACATTTTCAGATTTCACATATGGGTAAGATCATGAAATATTTGTCTTTCGGTTCCTGACTTATTTTACTTAGCATAATGTCTTCCAGGTTTATTCATGCTTTTGGAAAAGACAGAATGTCCTACTTTTGTAAGACTGTATAAATTATATTATTTTGTATGCTAAAAGAGAGTTAAAGTCTTACTCACATGTTGGCAACTAAATCAAGCAGAGGACAGATTTCTGTTTAACATGTACTTCCCTTCCCAGATTTCTGAAGTATAGAATTAAATGCAAATATTTTACTTTGCAGTGTTATAAGAACACAAGAAATGACTTTTGGAACTAAAATGTACCCATTCAGATACTGAGTTTCTGATAACATGACTGTCACGTGGGAGACAAGGCAATTTATCTCCAAGAAGTTAAAGTTTAAACATACTTTCTAGAATATCTTTTGTTTATTTGTTTATATAAGATTTTTAGCACTTACCCTGTGCCAGGCACAGGGCCAAGTACCTTAAATAAATGAACTCATTTTATCCTCACTACAGCCCTATGAGCTTATCCACATTTTGCCAGGGGGAAAAACAAACAAACAAACATGAAAAGCTACCATATGTAGTACTCTTAATTACTATTAAGTGAAATAACTATTTCAAAAGTATTTACTTGAAAAAACTAATATTATAAGAATCTTTCCATATTAAAATTTATCATTACAGTTTAATGATTTTTAAAAAGTTGATGTTTACATAATGACAGACATCAAACGCGCAGTTGGTCTTTTCTTCATATTCTTCCTTTCATATTCTCTTCCTCCCTCACCTTTTCTATACAAGGTCAACTGCCTTAAAATAAAGGTAGAAGTGGAGAATGGAAAGTCCAAACTAAAGAGATATATTACTTTCCTCTACTACAACTGCTTTTGTATGCCTTTGCCCTATGTCCATTTCATATATTTCTAATCTCATTTTGGTTCCTTCTCAAACAGACAAAACACTTTTTAAAAAATTTCAGTTATCTTATTCATGTACTCCCTAAAATAAATTTGAAAGTGTATATCAACATTTACATTTTAGTTGACTTCTGTAATTTTCCATTATTAAAGTTTAAAAGGTTACTAGTAAAGGCTTATAAGAATTAATGATATATCAAACATAAAATTACCACATATTTTCCAGGAAGCCTGGTGAGGAATTGAGGAAGTGCAGAAGGGAAAGGGAGTAAATAAGAAGAAGGGAGTGGGGTTAATGAATGAGTTACTGCTATGGACAATTGTAGCTCAGTTCTGCTGAAATTGCTCTTAACGACTGAGTAGTATATATATTTGATATGGTTTTGCTGTGTTCCCACCCAAATCTCATCTTGAATTTCCACATATTGTGGGAGGTACCCAGCAGGGAGGTAATTGAATCATGGGGGCAAGTCTCTCCTGTGCTGTTTTTGTGATAGTGAATACGTCTCATGAGATCTGATGATTTTATAAAGAAAAATTCCCCTGCACAAGCTCTCTCACTTTTCCTGCCACGATCCATGTAAGATATGACTTGCTCCTCCTTGCATTCCACCATGATTATGAGGTTCCCCCAACCATGCATAACTCTAAGTCCAATTACACCTCGTTCTTTTGTAAATTGACCAGTCTCGAGTATGTCTTTATCAGTGGTATGAAAACAGATTAGTAAAATATAAGCATCTCATTAAAAGAAAATAACTATGGCTTATTTCTTCACCTCCATCCCTTATTGGTAGAGGATTTCTCCTGGAGGCAGCAATTTCAAGGCACTTCCTTCCCTGTCTTTCCAAATTTGAGTTAAACAGGCTCCCATAGCCAGAGGAAACCCTAAGTTAGCAAGATGCAAGACTTCGGGCAAGATGCTGTCACTGTATGAGGGCCATGTCCACCAAACTGTACCCTGGGGTGGCCCAAGGGCCAAGAGCCAGATGCTAACAATGTCAAATTTAGCATGTAATCCCCATGAAACTGTGATTAAGTGAGTTATTTTATTTAATTATAAAAATCTAATTTCTAAATCAAAATTTTAGGATTCTGCCATAACCACAATTGTTATCAGATAGGAAAAATAAAACTTTAAACATATAATTAATAATTACAAAAACAAAAAATATTATTACAAATGCATCTCCTTATTGAATAACTGTACCTTGTTTTTTAAGCTCATAACTCATGGCTGATTATGATATTCTTGCTAGAAAGAAGCAAGAGTCAGCATCATTCTTCAACTTCATAGAAGTAAGGAAGAATAAGTCTTCTATATGTGCACAAATAGATATGCATGAAGGGAGATCTGTTGTATTAACACAATTAAACTAAACTTCTGTTGAGTTATAAAACAAAACTCACATATTGATATTAGCAAAGTTATTTTAATGAGCAGTTGATTGTTTTGTGTAGTTCTTTTTCAATTGTATTTAGATCAAATTACTGCAAATTACTCAGCTTACGAAATATGTATTATGTTTGCCCTAGAGTCATTAACAATCTTAATTTCTTACAATTATACTAAAGATGTGGTAATAATGGACTATTAATCCTTCTTGTTATTTATTCATTGAGGCAAATTGTTTAACTCAGTATAACCTTGAAATGACTTTCTAAAGAGAACAAATACTGAAAAAAGCAAATATTTCACTCATTGTATTTAGAAAAATTCAAGAGACTCAGAGAAGTATCCAAATGATTTAAATCTAATTTAAATCAGCATTACCAAACTATATTTCTTTGGTTTTCAAATTTTATTTACAGATAATGACACATTCTAGAGATGATTACTGCAAATTGCAAAAAGGAATTGCTTACTTTTCAAAATGTGGACACTCGTATGTGGGTGTATACATGTATGTGCACATTCAGTATGTTTTATTGATGCTCTCTTTGCTTTGTTCTCACAGGCCTCTCTTTCTCAATGGATTTACATTTTGTATTCCAAATGAAAGATGTAAAGTCATTAAAAGAAAATCGTCATTGCATACACACTCCTATACTGCCAAATGTCTTATTTTAGAACAAGATCCTATTTCTATCTGCAGGCTTTACCCTCAGCAGACATATGTAAAACTGTGAAAAAAATAAAGACATTTTAGCTATTCATTAAAAGAAGCATCACACGTTGAATTCTCTGTAGATTTTCCATGGGGCAATTTATCTGATAACAATTAGGGGTAGGTACATATAATAATAGAAAAAAAATGACTCTACTTTTGCTGTTGGATTGCTAACTGACTTCAAGCTCCACCACTCCCTCTTCTCCTTTGCTTCACACCTGAACTAACTGGGGCCCCTTTTTTGATGCCCTCTCTTTTGGGACCGAAACAACACAAGTCCTAGCTCCCTTGCTTAAGAAACTCTAACCACAGTCAAAGCCAAGCTAGTCTCCCTTTCCTACTCTCTCAAGTGAATTTTGGATCTGCTTGGGAGTTCGCCCCTCTGTCCACAGAAAGTCTTATGTTCTGAAAAAGTAAACTTTTCCTATCCTCGTTGTGAGTGTGTGACTCATTAGACTTGACATCTTTTGAGTTCTTCACGTCCCCAACATATTCTGTAATCATCATTCATAACCTTTTACAATAGAAGTAACAGTGATAAGACTATGTGGGACTGATAGTGTTTAAATTGACATGACAAGGGAAGTGATGTTTTGCCATGAAGATCCTTGGATACATCCCTGATGCCTGGGTGAGGTAATTCACAGCATTGTACCTACACCCATTAAAGGAGTCATGACATAAAGACAGGTAAGTCATATTATTGCTGTTTCAAAAACAGAGAAGAGTATCACAAATGTGACATTTTCTATTTGAATGTAATATAAAATCTAAACCTATAGCTTGGAATTCTATTAATCAAAAAGTGGCTTGATTAGTTCTATTTATCAAAATAGATGTTTTGAATATTTATCAAAATAATGTTTGATTTGTTCTATGTATCAAAAAGTTCAGATGGCTTATTTTAAGCATACTTCTTAACAAAACAAGGGAATTTTGATTTCATTCTTGGATTCATCAAAGATACTGATCTTAATCAGAAATTTATATCAGGTGGAGAAAAAATACATCAGTGAATAGAAAAACTGAAGTCCTCCAGCTCATTGGATCTTTTGAGATGTCACTGAGGTCCTTTCCCCTTTCTGGACTACAGTTGTCTAATCTGTAAAATAAAGATTATAATTTAACAGTCAGAATGACACTTGATTATTCACTTCTTACCTAAAATATAAAGTTCTGTGATATGTTTGTAGACATGAGAGTTTGATGAACTTATGTAACCTAAATAACTACTTAGGGCATTTGTGCTCCTGTGTGTTTTAGTGTGTGTGTCTGTAAATTATAAGCTTTCAGTCCACCAGACTAAAATTAGCATGCTGAATGCTATCTCATGACCTCAGGTTTCATAAAATTTCTAATACTGTCTAAGCTACTCTCTGTTAGAACATTTTTAATGATAATAATATCTATATTGGCTTTTGTAAATATATGTTTTAGAAATGATTTGCATATGCCTCCTGTAATTTACATCATGACCGAGTTTTTCTCAAAGATATGAGAGACACCTGCCATTTTTATTCTACAAAAATTAAGTAACCTCTAATTCAGATTCTTTTATAACCTGGAAGCAAAGAAGAAGTCCTGTCTATGTGAATTTTGTTTGACACATTGGTTGAGTTTTTTAGTTCAGACAGCAATAGCTTAATTATATGAATAGAGAGCTCCACAAATTTCTAATGATTGCAATGATTACTTGTTCACTTTAAAATGGGACTAAATAGCTCTTATTCTATAGCTTTTATCATGATCATCTTTTTTTGTACCTTTCCTACCTTTCAATGGATGTATTTTGCTTTAGAATATATTTCAGCTTATCCTTAAGGGTTCTTTCTGCCGTAATTAATTCCAAATACATTTTTCTTTCTTTTTGACAGAAGTACCTACCCCTAAGATTTAATGGGTCAGGCTGAGAACTGTTCTGGTTTTGGGGGATCATTGAGCTACATGATATCAGATATATGACATAGCCTTCTCTCATATGCCTTTTATTTATCATATAGGATATTAGAAGGGACAAGTTAATCTTACATTAAAAGGCTGGACAAAAAGTAAAAGAATGTGTGATAGGGGGTCTAACCCCTGTTCATCCTGCAGTATTTTTCTCAGCAGTTTTAGGTGCTATAGCCCTGACTGAATTTGGCTTTGAATTTTTATCAGTCGTCTTTCATTTGGAGCAAAAGTACAGAATAATGCTTACAAAATAGCAAGAATAATACTTATTATTCTAATTATGGCAAATGTGTGGTATGTTAGGCAAGGTCTGATAATTTTGGATGAATTCTCATTTTTTAATTCTAAAAAAATCCTACAGGATAGTTTCCATTTTTTATAGGCTCACTTAGCACATCAGGAAAAATAAGCCCAGTTAGATCCTCCCATGGTGGCTGCAGTTACCCATATTACATCCAAATATCATTGTGTGCTTTACTGCTTTCCCATTAATAAGGTCCCCCATAACCATTTGCATGGCCTCGTTTTGATGGCATGAGTACCTGGGTTCCATTTTCATAATACCATCAGGTGATAAGAAGATTGATAAGAATGATCAATAGAGCAAAAATAGAAAAATTAGCTACTTTTGGAACTCTTAATTTCATTCTTTCCCAAACTCTCTTCCTGATCTTGTCATCTTCGTGATTTATCTTCACTAATGAAAGCCTCAATGTATTTCCAAAAGAATGAGGAGTATGGGAGCAATTTTTGACTCAAAGTCTGTTCATCAAAAGTGCAATTAAGAAGCAATCCTAGAGAATGCTTTTGTATTTCTTCCCAACTATTTAAATTGTAAAAACTTTGATTAACTCTTTCTCTTAGTATAATGTGGCGTTATATATAACTGCATATTAGTTATTTAAAATATAAATATATATTTTTTTATTTTAAAGGTTTATATGTTGCATAATCACATATGCATTTGTATTTCTATCAAAATTTTCTAACTTTTTGCTTTCCAGTCCTATTTTTATTTAGAATGTGTAATTAAACAGCCTGTTTCATACAGAGGTTAAAGCCAAAAATTTTGTTTTCATGTAAGACCAGGAAGATACAAATGTACACACATATTTTTATAATAACAAAAATCATAAATGTGCTATTTTGTAAAAAAAAAAATCGAGAATACTAAAGTACTCATTGCCATGAAAGGGGTGGGTGATATAAAACAATGGTTAGAAGAACAGATTAGAAATCAGATTGTTTGAGCTTTATTTTTATTCCATCATTTACCAGCTATGTAATCTTCGAAAGGTTATCATCAGTGTTTTCCTTGCCTCCTGTAAAATGGGGAAATAATAATATCTCCTTCGTAATGGCTGCATGGAGATTTAAATAGATGATACACGGTAAGTCTCTAATTTACCGTGTATTATCTGACACATAATAAATATCTAAGGAATGTTAACTTTTACAATTTTTAAAATTTAAAATTTTTGAAATTGTCTTTGTTATTTTAAATTTTAAGCTTAAATGGAGTTGTAATTATTCAGGGTATATTTTAATCTTTAGTGTAATAACAAATCTGTAGTTAAATAAAGCAAGTATTGTAATAAAACAATTTTTTCCTAACATACGATTAAAAATCCTGAAACTTGTCAGTATTTCTATGCTTTGGATATGTGCATTATTATTGCATATCTCTTGGGTAGTAAATTTTTTCTCAGCTTAATTAAATGAAGCCATACTAAAGTTTCCTTCATTCACTGAATTTTCTCTTTAATGTTAAATAATAAAGGACCTTACCAAATAGCTCTTATCGGAAGCAAAAGGGAAGGAAAGAAAAAGCAAATGCATGAAAGGATAAATGAAAGGAGAAAAGCTGTGCTTGGCCTGGCCTTGAGACTCTCTCTGGGAGAGAACTATCACGTGGTGTGAAGTTGGGACGTTGTTAGCAAACAGCACCTGGGACAGGGACGTTCTGTGCAACCTGGCAGGTGCTGTATGGCGGAGGTTGCTGTTTGCCATTTGCAGCTCTGTTGTCAGACATGACTGCAGAGCTGGCTTAATCTGGAATGTACTTCAAACCTGTGAGGTTCATAGGACTGCAATTATTACATTTGTATGGGCACAGAGAGACACTCAATTTTGCGTTTAATTATTTAAAAGGTCAAACCCTTAAGCCTCAATGCAGCAGCCAGGATCTTTGTAGTCGGTACTTTAAACAATCAGTCTCTCTTTCCAGAGATATTGTGCAATGAGTGTACAGGTGACAGGAAACAATGTGTATTAAATGTGGATCACCTCCTCTTTCTCTTCTGATATAAATGTACTTCCCATCATAAAAACAAATATAAACATATCAAACCCATGTTACAATATCAGTTTTTTAAATTTTTAACTTGAAATGATTTTAGAGTTATCAGAGTTAAAAATAAAACAAAAAGCTGCACTTTACCCTTCACCTAGCTTTTCCTCAGATTGATACCTTGAACAACTATATTATAATTATCACAACTAAAAAAATCAAAATTGTTACCACACTATTAATTTCACTATAGGCTTTATGTAAATTTGACTGCTTTTTCCAGTTATATCATTTACAGTTACAGGATCCAGTTTTTTATAGCAATTTTCAGCCATCATTACCTTTTTTTAGTAAGCAGTTAATATTATATTTAAAAAATGAATATAGAATTCTACTATCATTGAATTATATGGTATAAATATATGTATTTATTCCCCAGTTTATTTTCAAAAGCCCACTTATGGACTTTTATTCTGGAAGGCTCAGGAATTTTAAATGAGAGTAGATACCAAAATATTAAAAGTACTACAAAGTACATTTCAAATTAATTTCCTTAAAATATTGCTTTATACTATTTATTTTAATGGAAATAATTATATTGTGATTTAAGTAAATCATTCATAATAAATATTATATAAGGAAGGATAACTGTTTTCTTCCTTTTTCTTAGCCCTACTGACCCCAAATGAAACCACTGTTAATATTTTTTTAAATGTTTTTAAAACAATAGAATATTTAGGATATTATTTTATCTTTGTACATTTCCTTCATTTCAATAATTTTAACAATGTGTACACAATCATATCTGATACATTCTACTGAATGTTGAATATTCAATTTATGGGCACACTATGATTTATTTTACAGGTTATAAGTTGTTAACCATTTTTTATTATTTTTATTTTTGTTAGAGCCATTAATTCTACTATGCTGGACTAGTCAAGAGGGCCCTTTAGATATTCTGTAGGGTGAATTCCTCAGAGGGGAACCTTTGGGAAAATGATAGTCATATTTCATTTTAACAGCTATTGGCTAATTGCCCTTCAAAAACAATTCCAAAAAAAGTTAAAATGTGACCAAACGTGTATGAAAGTACCTATTTTCCACAGCCCTTCCAACAATGAGTACTATGTAAACTTCTAAAAAGTATATTTACCAATTAGGTTGTTGAATGAGAGAACATGGTTTTGTTTGATATAGTGTCTTAATTACGAGGTGAAACATCTTTTCAGATGCTTACTAGCCATTTCTGTTTCTTGACATAAAAACAGTTTTTTAACCTACTGATTTTTGCTACTCTATTTTTTATTGATTTTCTAACATTACTGGACAAACTAACACCCGTTCTCATTTTCAGTGCTATTTTAACTATAATAATGCTTGTATTCAAGCACATCTCCAGAGACAGCACTCTAATTCCAGGCCTCCATATTACCTTATTTACTTAAAATTGTTGTTGTTGTTAAGCAATTTTGTCTTTATCTGTAACTTTTACAAATGTTGTCACAATTCCTAATGGTTTCAAAACACTGCAAAACTATACATGCTAAAGTTTTTTAGACTATCTGAAATACAGCACAAATTTGATCATTTGCTTCCCTAAAAAAATTATATATACAGACACACACATGCAGTGTTAAATTAGTAACACTTAACTCTTTATCTCATTAGTGCTGCATTGCCACCTCTGACTCCACCCCAAATATATTATTTCCATTTGATTTTATTTAGGGAATTTTCATGCAGAAGCATTTTGTTTTTGTTGTTATTTAAGGGTGTCAAAATTCTCAATTATTTTCTTTCAGGTTTCTGGATTTTTGGTCAGGCTCAAAAATTTTTTGAAAAGTAATTTTGATAGTTTGTGCATTTTTGTGCATGCGTATAGGGGCATTTAGCAGGGTTACTGAAATACAGTTCACATGGTGTAACACTCACTCATTTTTGAGTGTAAAACTCAATACCTCAATCCAATTTGAGAACACTTTCTTACCACTAAAAGATACCTTGTGTCCATTTGCAGTGACTTCCTGTTGTCTTTCTTTCTGTGTAACTAGATTTGTCCTTTCTGAACATTTCATAGTAATGAAATCACCCAATCACACAAAAATGTGGTCTTTTGTGACTAGCATCATTAATGTAGTATAGAGTTTTTGAGATTCATCTAAGTGTTGGCATGTATTATGTCTTCCAATGCATGAATATGGATATCTGTACATTTATTTATATATTTTTAAAAAATTCTAAGCAATATTTTATAGATTTTTATGTACACATTTCTGTACTTCTTTAGTTAAAATTAATCTCAAGTATATTTTATTTTTCATGAGATTGATAATTGAAATATATTTGTAGTTTACTTTTAGATTATTCATTAGTAGTATGTAGAAGGAACAGTGTTGTTATCCATTTAAAATGATTTTGTAGATGAAGGAGACTTATATTGGAAAGTATACTGGACAAGTAGTCAAAATTTTATATATATCTATGAAATATATAAAAATATTTAAATATTTATATGTAAGTATATAGAGACAGTGTGTATAGTACAGTGTATATATAAGTATAGAGTATATACTGTATAGTAAACTAAGACTATATATATACTATATATAATTCTGACTATATGTGTGTGTGTATATATATATGCATATATATATAGCTAAATTTATACTTTATAATAAAATTATATAGTATGGTTATTTTAACATATTTTATTATATATAAAATTATAAAGTATAGATTTAGGTATAGAAAATCTTAGCAGATTTTTGATGACTATGAACATCTGGCAGGTTATTCAAAGCTTTATAGGTTAAAGAAACTATTTAGTGTTTGTGATTCTGGCATATCTAATTCTAGGAATATCCCTCACCAATCATTATGGCAATCACAAAATATCCTATTACTTTGAAAAATTCTTAGAAGATATTATTGTGCTCTCCTGCGAATCACTATAAAGCTTACAATGCAGTGTCAGAGCCTCTGTTCCCAGACAGTGAGTGTGTCATTCATTAGTGCCGAGAACAGTACCTGGCATGTAAATCATTCAATATGTCTGTTAAATTACTGATTTTTAATGAAAAACTTGGAGCTTTCCAATGACAAATTCACCATCTTATTGAGATGATTTCATGAATGGGACCGTATCTATATTTACTGCATTATTTGGGTATTGGTGCTTTCTATACAAGGGGTATAGATTTCCTTTTACAGGTCGGAGAAATGAAGACCAAGGAGTTTAAATGACAGAACTTTATATTTTTAATTGAGGAGAAATCTCAATTTGATTTAAAACATCTTTGTTGATTTTGGTTGAGATCATTTGGTTGAGATCATTGAGATTATTTAGTTGAGGTCATTGAGATTATTTAGTTTATTCTGCCAATTTGAAAACAAGTCCCCTCCTTCTATAGCATCATTCACATGATTACCTAAGCTGCTCAAAAATTTCCACTGAAGTAGTTAATATACTTAAAAGAGAGAAATACTTGTATAAGTAACCCTTTTTTGATGGGAAGTATGCATTTTTAAAAAGTAAAAAGATTTTGTGCCTCGTTGTATCTAATC